>NC_000010.11:5313030-5464545 GCF_000001405.40 Homo sapiens
ATGTCCCACTATTCAGAGGGCAATACCATTGAGTGGTGTCCCAGAGGGTGGGATTGAGCCGGGCTGCCTGGTTCAAACACCAGCCCTGCCACTTACTCACAGTGTTAGTGGACAATTTCCCTAACTTTTCTGGGCCTCCCTTTCCTTGGTCTGCAATAAATTGGACAAACTGCTTAACCTCCCTGGTCACCAGTATTCTCCTCTACAAAATACGGTGATAGTAATACCTTCTAGGAGTGTTGAAATGATTTAATCACTTGAGACATTAAAAAGAAAAAAACACTTGGCTCATGATAGAAAGAGCACTCAAACCTTAACTTTATTATCATTGCCTCTCTGAGATGGGTGAGTATGAGTTAGACAATGACTTTGCCTGAAAAGAGCCTGAAGTTGTTTAAGGAAGACAAAAAAGATTTAATAAAAATTCTTTTGGTTGTGGAAATGGTTAACGATGGGTGTGAAAGCCGAGGAATAATTACCCTTCACTGGGGTACCGTGGCAGCCCTTCAGGGACTCCCCCGGCAGAGCCAATGGGCCTGTCCTTGGGGAAGTTGTGAGCTTGTTCAGACCGGGTCCTTGAATAACACAGTAGACCACCCCTTTAGGGTGGCTTCATGGTTGAGGGAAGGAAGGCCCCTAAGATCAAAGCCCCTAAGAACTTCGACCAATGTCCAGCATCCAACAGACCACTTGGGGTAGAGGCATGGGATCTGAGCTACGGTTGTGGAGGACTGATGTCAGCAGAGCCCAGGGGCTGCAGGGGTTGTGGTGGGAGGTGGGGGACTTAAGGATATCACCCAGCCCACAACAGCCCTAAATAACCCTGTGGGTCCAGGTCTTCTCACTTGCTTCTGGATCTAGAATGAGTTCCTGGGAGAGAAAGTAAGAAGTGAAGGGAACATCAACAGTACTGGTGGTCAGAGGGTTCCTGGTACTTGGTACCACTGCCCAACACTCAAACCTAAAGTCACTTTGCTGAAAAGATAGCAGCCATTCCAGGCAATATTGTAAAAGTTGTGTTATCTTAACATTACGCTTCCTTGTGAAAGTCATTTTCCATACTCTCAGTAATTGCTTTAAAATGAGATTTTTATCAGTTCTTTTCTGCTGCACTTTGAGATTGATGCCTGTGAAGTGTTAGAATGCAGAGCTCAACTTAAGGCCAAAGCACAATTCGAAACTTCTCTCACCCCATCCACCAAGATTTGTCTTCACTCTTTCATCCGTTCATTCAATAAACGCTAAATGAGCATTCTGCATCAGACACTACATTGAGGAGGTGCAGATGGGAGCTCCCGCTGAAGAAATGATGCAATATGTGTGTATCTTAAACTAGGATCCCTAGAAAGACTGACACAGACAGCTGCATGCAGAATGTCTTGAGGGAGTGTTCCCAGGAGATACACCTGTGAGGACATGAGAAAGCAAGACTGGGCCCAGAGAGAAGATGACCCAGGAAGCAGCTGCAACAGAGGTCTTGGCTGCAGCTGCAACAGAGGTCTTGGCTATACCTGCAGAGAGCTCTAGATTGTGGATAATCCTTCTATGTTGTCTCAAATTGAGGCAAGGGGCTGGCACTTCAGATGTCTGCACCAGCAGTCATTGGCAGTGAACCACGCCAGAAGGGTGAATAGTGACCTTGGGTGGGGCTGTTTCCTGCCCAGTGAGGGGCCCAGCTGTGAACCATCCTGCCATCCTGAGAATCTCTAGAACTATAAACAAAATTCATCAAGCCACACTGATGGCCACATCCTTTCCCCTTAAATGATGTGGGGGCATACTCCCTCTCCCTTGAGCTACACCTTCTCCCCATGCCCTTAGAACATTCAAATGAGTAAAGGGAAAGAGTTTTCCTATTAACATATCCCTCCAGACAAATGAGAACTCAGATCATCTGACCTAATGCTTCACATTTGCTGAGAGTTTAATTAGCCAGAAGAGCACCTATTGCCTCATTAACCCTCTAACTGTGGGCCATTAGCAGTTAGAAAAGCAAACACAGCAGCTGAACAAAGCAAATACACGCTGGCCATCGCTAAGGTTGAAGATTGCCCAGGTGGTAGTTACCTGGGCAGCAAGTTGTTGCTAATCCTGTCTAGGTGAGCATGGCTAATAGGCCTTCTGTGTCTTAAAGCAGGACACCGTGAAAGGGAGATGGGAGAGTAAACCAAGACAGCCGCCAAAGGCTCCGTTTCTTTGTTTTGCTGAGGAGCAGGCTGAAAACACGGAGTCCGGGCATGTTGGTTCCTGGCCACACATCTGCAGCGCCTGGACAACAGGGTCTGGGGTGTGTGGTTGGGTGGAGGGAGGTGAAGGTAAGGTCAGAAAGGTGGAAAGAAAGAGACAAAGGACTGCCCTTACTGTAACATGGACATTGACGAGCAGAGCTAAATGCAATGGAAGAATAGAGAATAAAGGCTGAAAGCTGTTGTGTAAAGGAAGAAGAGCAGATGTTAGAAGTCATCTCACAATTTATAATCCTTTGGGTATATACCCAGTAATGGGATGGCTGGGTCAAATGGTATTTCTACTTCTAGATCCCTGAGGAACCGCCACACTGACTTCCACAATGGTTGAGCTAGTTTACAGTCCCATCAACCGTGTAAAAGTATTCCTATTTCTCCACATCCTCTCCAGCACCTGTTGTTTCCTGACTTTTTAATGATCGCCATTCAACAATGATAGACCGGATTAAGAAAATGTGGCACATATACACATACTATGCAGCCATAAAAAATGATGAGTTCATGTCCTTTGTAGGGACATGGATGAAGCTGGAAACCATCATTCTCAGCAAACTATCGTGAGGACAAAAAAACCAAACACCGCATGTTCTCACTCATAGGTGGGAATTGAACAATGAGAACACATGGACACAGGAAGGGGAACATCACACACCAGGGCCTGTTGTGGGGTGGGGGCGGGGGGGAGGGATAGCATTAGGAGATATACCTAATGGTAAATGACGAGTTAATGGGTGCAGCACACCAACATGGCACATGTATACATATGTAACAAACCTGCACGTTGTGCACATGTACCCTAGAACTTAAAGTATAAAAAAAAAGAAAAAAGAAGAAGTCATCTCAGAATTCATCTGGACCACTCCTCCTTCATTTTAGAGAAAAAGAAACAATAACCCAGAGAAGAGCGATGCCATGCCCAGGGTCACACAGATGACTCATGACGGAACGCAGATTAAAACTTGTTCTGATTTCCATTCCCGGTTTCTATCCACCTCCCCAAGGAAAATAGAGGAAAAGGAGAAAAGAAAGATGACAGGGGACAAACTAGAGGAACTAAAAAGATAAACTAGAAAAAAAAGAAAATACTGAAAACTTAAACTGGGCAGGAGAAGAAAACAAGCAAAGAAAAAACAGCCATCAAAAATGATGCTGATTCTAAAATCCATGTGCACCAGAAGAGCCAAGAAAATTTTGAAAAGGAACAAGATGTGGAACTAGTCCTTCAGATTCCAAATATTCTAGAGGTATTGTAATCAAAGTAGTGTGTTACTAGAACAGTAATTTAAAACATTTTGATGGTATGGAGCAGGAGGTCCAGAAACAGGCCAATGTCTATACATGGAGTTTAGCACATGATAAAGATATCATTTTAACTAGTGGTATTTGGATGGGGTTGAGGGGGACCACTCAGTAACGGTATTGGCACTATTGGCTGTAAATCTGTGGGGGCATTAAGTTAAATCCCTACTTCACACCATTTCCTCCCCAAAACTGAGAGATGAGTAACCTCAATAAAAATAGCAATCAAAATTAGGCAATATTTATAAATCATTAGGAGAAAATACAGTCCTGCATAGCTAGGAAGATGGGAGCCTTCATACCCAATGCACACACACACACACACACACACACACAAAGCCAAAGGGAAAAGGAAAGATAAATTTGACTATGTTAGAATTTAAAACTTCCGTTTTATAATAGAGGCCCAAAATAAAGTTAAAAGTCAAGAGATAGTCCAGGAGGAATATTACAAATATCTAATGAAGAACTCGTAGCCGTACAAGATAAAGAACTTCTCAAATCAATACAAAAAGACAAAAAAAGTTAAAAATTGACAAAAGGCAAGCAATTTAAAGAAGAGAAAATGAAAATATTCAACTAGAATGTGAAAAGTAGATTAGCCTCACTTGTGACCAGGGAAATGCCAATTAAAGTAAAATGAAACACTTCATACTCACCCACCTGGCAAACTGTTCATGTTTGATGACATGGGGAATATGGACCTCGTACATTCACAACCAGCTGGCGAAAGTAAAAATGGGTACAATCACATTGAACAGCAAAGCAGCAAAATCTATTGAAGCTAAATTCCCAAATTCTCACTTTCCTGTTTAAGCAAATGAATAAATGACTTGTTCTTGTAGTAAAGAGAATCATATTGACCAAAAAGTTAGAGATGGAATGTCAGCGCAGGAGCCTGGGTGGGAAAGGATGTTGGAATCTCATGATATCTCAGCCCACAAGTGGGGCCAGAGAAGGGCACAGTCAGAGCCAGGTGCAAGAGCAGAGTGCAGAGAGAGGACAACCCAAGGGTCCCCACTGTATCCCTCCTCGCTGGTGTTTAAGACCACTGCCTCCTCTGGCTCCCAGACAAGGAAGACAGCTCTGCTGTCAGGTTATGTCATTTTCTAAACCTCAGGGATGAACTATTTCCGGTTGGCAAGTGAGCGAATTAAATTCCTTAGTGGCAGGGTCAGTCATGCTAAATGAGAAAGTTGACTCAGCCGGGCAAGACAGACGCATGTCATTACTCATGGCAGGGTCCCCGCACGCCTGCTGCTGAGTCCTCCTTGGCCTCCCTTCGTTGAGCTGACTCATTCTTCATCTCACTTTTCTGTGCAGAGTTGCTGGAAAGGACACGTGGGGGGCCCAGATGGGAAGGAACATCCCCCAGGTGTTGGTTACACAGGAAGTTGAAAAGCTGTCAGATCTGGGACAAAAAGAGTGAGCTGACTTCCTGTACTGTGGGTTCCTAAGGGTACTGGTGAGACAATGTCAGAACCAGGCAGGGCGCTAGTCAGGTTGAACACATGGAAGTGAACTAGCTAAAGAGGGGAAGGCAAGGAGACACTGGGTACTCAGCAGAGCCAGGTGTTCAAGGCCCTTGGTCCCTCACATCCCTGGAGGAACTGTGTCTACCTTTCTCTATTGCTTAAAACCTGAGTTCCAGGGTTTCTTTGTCATGCCTGACTCTGACACGCTGTGTTTCTGGCCCCAATTCTCATTTGTGCTCTAGGATCACCCTCTGCTCCTGATCCAATAACAGTAATGATTGTCGTTCCCTGGGTGCTAAGCATAGTGCTCTAGTACTAGGCACAGTGCTCTCCCTGATCCAGTCACAGTAATGGTCGTCATTCCCTGGGTGCTAGACACAGTGCTGTAGTACTAGGCATAGTGCTCTCCCTGATCCAGTCACGGTAATGATTGTCATTTCCTGGGTGCTCGAAATCCCCAGGGATATTTTTATGGGTCCTGGTATGTGTATTTTAACAAAATACACATACCAGGACCCATCAAAACCCTCTGAAATAGAATCTATAGGGGTGATGCCTAGGAGGGGCCATTGAGGATGACTTTTGATAGAAATCCACCCATCTGGACTCTGGGGGCATCCTGGCTTTGACTGATCCCATCACAGGGGAAGAGACCAACCTCCTTCTCCTACCATTGAGCCTCTGCAGGATCCCCATCCTGGGTACCCAGGCTATTTAGCTTCTTCCTTCGACCTCCTCCCTCAGAGAGATATTATAACTCAGGCTGCATTCCAAAGCCAAAACCCTCACTGCCATGAGGGTTAAGAAGCATTGGTTCAGGCAGCCCATACCTCTTCTCTTTCTCAGACTGTGCTTGGAGGCTCCTTCGGCAGAGGCCACCCAAATCCCAGAGAGAATCTTTGAGTATGCCACACCCATCACTCAGAGGTCTTCAAAATAAAATGCTAATGGCAACCAGAAATAAGACTGTTCTACCCCCAGATTTCATGGTAATAAGGAAAGAGACTGTGAATCAGGGAAACAAAAGGGTAAGGGGCAGGAAAGGTCAAAGCAAAAGGGAGTGCGTAGCCCATCACCCAAAACAGCACCCAACCCACCAGTCTCTGCAATTAAGCACCAAATACGAAAGTAATTAAAATAATAACAATAGCTGAGCCGCTGCGCTGGGAAGAGTGTACAGGAGATGAGGGGGTGGTGGCCTTGACCTCATGCACTAAGAGAACATAAAGGATTTTTCTAAATGCAGAAGCCACCCATTGAACAAAGTGTTAAGGGGCCACTGGGAGAGGGAGCAACTCCCGTTCTTGTCCAGAGAGGAGGCCAGCGCCACGCAGCACAACACAGGGGTTAAGATCAATCAGGGATTTCAAAGAAAAGACATGCCGTAATTAAAATCCCAGTTCCTCCACTTTCTACTTTGGGACCTCAGACACAGCCTCTTTATCTGTTATCGGGAATAGTCATTGTATCTACATCACATGGCAAATGTCAAGTGTTAGTAACCTGACAACTGGAATTAAAATTATATAAGCGGAACATTTATCTCAGTGCCTAGGTCTGGGTATGAGCTCAACAGATGGTTGATAATCATTCATGTAACATAGTTTCCTCTCCCAATTTCCACTTCTGACTTCTGGACAGGTGCTGGGTAGGGACCTCGTTACTCAGTCTCATTTTCTCCACCCACGAAAAGAGAATAATTACCTCTGACCCCAATCCCACTTAAGTCTTTATTTCCCCAAAGGGTTAACACATATCTAACATCTAAAAAGAAATATTTCATCAATCTAGTGTAAAAAATGCATTTTCAGGATCCCATAGGCATCACCATTCCTGTTACCCAAACCCTGGTGAGCCAACAAATAAAAAGTTATAGCACCTCTAAAAGGGCCCAGCAGCCAGAGAGAGAAAGTACCTACAAAACATTCACAACACACACCCAATAAAATACAGCCGTGCATTGCTTAACGATGGGGATACATTCTGAGAAATGTGTTGTTAGGTGATTTCCTCATTGTGCAAACTTTATGTGCTTACACAAACCTAGATGGGATAGCCTACTACACACCTAGGCTAGACGGTGCAGTCTATCATTCCTGGTCTACAAACCTATACAGCATATTACAGTACTGAATACTATAGGAAGTTATAATACAATGGTAAGCATTTGTGTATCTAAATATCCACAAACAGAGAGAGAGTACAGTCGAAACATGGTATTATAATCTTATGGGACCACTGTTGTATATGTGGTCTATCATTGGCCAAAAATTATTATGAGGCATATGACTGTCCCTGAAGAAGAAAGATGAACACCTGTGATAGAAGATAATAAGAATAGTTGACCGGGCGTGGTGGTTCATGCCTGTAATCCTAGCACTTGAGGGACTGAGGCGGGCGGATCACCTGAGGTCAGGAGTTCAAGACCAGCCTGGCCAACATGGTGAAACCCCGTCTCTACTAAAAATACAAAAAAAAATGAGCCAGGTGGTAGAGACATGTGCCTGTAATCCCAGCTACTGGGAGGCTGAGGCAGGAGAATCACTGGAACCTGGAAGGCAGAGGCTGCAGTGAGCCGAGATCATGCCACTGCCCTCTGGCTTGGGCAACAGAGTGAGACTCCATCTCAAAAAAAAAAAAAAAAAGAAGAAGAAGAAGCAAGGAGACCCCAAAAAAGCATAAAAAAGACTCCAGGAGCTTACCAGAAAACATGTTTTGGATTTTAAAATGTAGTACATATAAACTAAATGTAAAAAATGTGCCAAAGTACAGAGAAAAAAAAATTGAGATGAAAATCGGGGGAAAGAGAAGACACTTGAAGGACAGCTCTGGGAGACCTCGTAGTGGATAAACAGGATTTCCAGAAGCGGACAAAAACATTGTAATGCACTAACAGGGACTGTGTTTACCATCCTGCCTTAAGCAACTGGAACGCCAGCCAAAATGCATGAAACTGATTTCAGACACTGAATAACAGAAGCACAGGACTTCCAGGTTCATGTGAGAATGCCCTTGCTAAGATTATAGATTATTACTAGGTCTCAACTGGCTCAACCCTTGACTACACATCTTTTTAGTATTCCTTGTGACCAAATGGGAAATATACTCTGCTGAGCACCTGTTAAATCAAGTTCAGCCTAAAGCTGCCTCCTTTATGAACTTACATATTTTACGTTTGGCCTAATGATTTCTCTTTACATCGTGAGCTATAACAAGTGGAGGTGTAACCAGACTGCAGCCTACACTTGTGCCAATCACCGAGTTTTGGGCAATTAGATGTAACCAACTGTTTGAACCTTGTTCAAAGAAGGCAAATGCCAAGCTGTAACCAATGCAACTGTTTCTGGGCCTCACTTCCTTTTCTATACGTCACTTTCCTTCCTCTGTTCATAAATCTTCTTCCACCTTGTGGCTGTGCTGGAGTCTCTGAGCCTACTCTGGCTTTGGAGGCTGCCCGATTCATGAATTGTTCATGGCTCAATTAAACTCCTTTAATTTAATTTGGTTGAAGTTTTTCTTTTATTCCACCAAAGCACTGTGGTTGTTTCAAGGAAAGGCATTTAGACAATTGTTTGCATCTCAAGCTGAACAAGTCACTTTTTCAATAGAGCTTTATTTTTACTGGAGAGAACAATTGACAGACATTTAAACCTGGGAGAATACGTGTTTATCTGCTGACCTTCTCTCCACTATTATCCTATGACCCTGCCACATCCCCCTCTCCGAGAAATACCCAAGAATGATCAATAAATACTAAAAAAAAAAAAAAAAAAAAAAAAAAAAAAGAATGTACAAACAAAAAAAAAATAATACTCCCTTGTGGGCTGGTAATAAACACTGGGATGCAGACTGAAAAAAGAAAAGAAAAGAAAAGAAAAATTTAGGAGAGCTAGTTCATAGATTTCAAGGTAAGTTGTTTATGCTTTCCAAAAATTTTAATTGAGCAGTCTAGATATTCTGATGTCCTCTGTTACTGAAAATTACTTTTGTTGCCAAATGTCTGTGTGCATATAAATGTGGATGTGGGGTTGCTGCAGTAGAGAACTTTTCATTTCTTTATGGACTGTAGCAGAGTTTCCACTTGAAAGTAATGTCCACAGGAGAATATAATATTTCAAGAACTCAAATAAAATAAAGTCTTACGGGTCACCTAAAAAAAAAAAACCTGAGTGAATAGCAGACATTTTCTCATTTCAAGGAAAACAACTGACACTATGTGTTGCCAGTGATGCAATTTCAGCTTTCAAGAGAAAGTTATCATTTTGGAAAATTTGTCTCAGCCACTGTGGTCTCACTCAAGAAGAAATAGATAATGTGAATAAACCTTATATTTGTTAATGAAATTGAATGTTTTGTTTAAAATCTTCCCATGGATGGCCGGGCGCAGTGGCTCACACCTGTAATCCCAGCCCTTTGCGAGGCCATGGCAAGTAGATCACTTGAACTCAGGAGTTCAAGACCAGCCTGGCCAACATGGTGAAACCCCATCTCTACTAAAAATATAAAAATTAGCCAGACGTTCTCACTGGAACCCAGGAGGCAGAGGTTGCAATGAGCCGAGATCATTCCACTCTACTTCAGTCTGGGTGATAGAGCAAGACGCTGTCTCAAAAAAAAAAAATTTCCCATGAATACAACTTCAAGCTTGCATAGCTTCATTAGAAAATTCTACCAAATATTCTGCTGTATAAAATGGCCCTCATTTTAGAGAAAAAATAATATCATTTCTACAAAACTCTTTCAGAAAATAGAAGGAGAGCTAACACATCTCTATTCCTACTCATTTTATGAGACCATTATTACCCTAATGCCAAAGACTATTTAAAAATTGGGGTTGGCAGGGCTTGGTGGCTCACACCTGTAATCCCAACACTTCAGGAGGCCAAGGCAGGAGAAATTCTTGAGCCCAGAAGTTCAAGACCAGCCTGAGCAACATGGCAAAACCCCGCTCCTACCAAAAAATACAAAAATTAGCTGGGTATGGCGGCACACACCTGTAGTTCCAGCTACTCGGGAGGCTAAAGCAGGAGGATCATTTCATCCCAGAAGGTTGAGGCTGTTCTGAGCTGTGATCGCACCACTGCGCTCCAGCCTGGGTGACAGAGGGAAACCCTGTCTCAAAAAATAAATAAGTAAATAAATTTTTAGAAATTGGGGTTAGAAAAGATGCAGCATTTCCTAATAGTGACAAGTGTGAAACTCTAAAATGGATGAGAGAAGGAGAAACTGAACTCAGCATCTCTCAACACCCACGGGATGTCTTGTGAAGCGGATATTCACAGCAGAGAACTCTGAAGTTGGAAGGTCCAGGGGTTTTCCCATGCCCAGGAGTACCGGGATTCCAGTTCCCTCTGAGCCACCCCAAGGGGGAAAGAAAGGGGAGGCCTGCCCCATGATGAACAAGAAGTTCCAGGTAAAATTAGATTTAATAAAACAATTTCACTGCTTTAAAAATAAAAAAGAAGAAAGATACTGAAAACCACTGACAATGCAATCACTTATTCTTCTGAACTTGAAATACTGGTTTCTTCTTTAAGAACAAGACAAAAGAAGTGTTACTTTGCACACCGTGACGTCGTTGGTCTTTGGAACTTGTTTTCCTTTGAGGTATTACGGGTTGGAAAACACAACAGTTCATCTGTGTGGCTTACATTCTTACTGAGTGTCTACTCTGTGTCAGGGACACAGTGTTAAGACATGCACCTTTACCTATTGCATGGAGTTTATATTTTCAGAGTTGAAAAAAATCATTTAAAAAAGAGATCCACTATTAGCAAAGAAAAGATGGGAATGTCTTCCCACAAAATTTCTAAGTCTTAGAGTGTGAACCTGCATAGACAGGAGGCTCCAGCAGAGTGGTTTACTTTACTCATTTCCCATACACCAGCTTTAGAAAACCATAATTCTTTTGGGAGGATGAGGCAAGCAGATCACTTAAGGTCAGGAGTTCGAGACCAGCTTGGCCAACATGGTGAAAACCTGTCTCTACTAAAAATACAAAAATTTGGCGGCACAGTGGCGGGCGCCTGTAATCCCAACTACTGGGGAGGCTGAGGCAGGAGAATTGCTCGAACCAGGGAGGCAGAGGTTGCAGTAAGCGGAGATCTACCACTGCACTCCAGCCTGGGTGACAGAGCAAGACTCCATCTCAAAAAAGAAAGAAAGAAAGAAGAAAGAAAGAAAGAAAGAAAGAAAGAAAGAAAGAAAGAAAGAAAGAAAGAAAGAAAGAAAGGAAGAAAGAAAGAGAGAGAGAGAGAAAGAGAGAGGGAGGGAGGGAGGGAGGGAGGAAGGAAGGAAGGAAGAAAGAAAGAAAGAGAAAGAAAGAAAGAAAGAAAGAAAGAAAGAAAGAAAGAAAGAAAGAAAGAAAGAAAGAAAGAAAAAGAAAGAAAGAAAGAAAGAAAACTGTAATTCTAACAGCGCTTGGAATCAAAGCCAGCCCTGGACAAGACTGGAAACTGGCCTGATTGGTGTTTGGTTGATTCTTAGCCCCTGATCCACGCCTCTCCCTTCCTCTCCCAACCTGTGCTTTGTTCCATTGCCTTCTGGCTTGACCAAGCCCCCTGCCTCTAATGGTTGAAGAAATTCCTCTTTCCATGGCATTTGGAGCTAAATCTGAGTTTCCTGAAGGCTGACAAGCCTCAAAGCAGAAAGCCTCTGCCACTGTGATTGCAGACTCCGCGACAGTGCAGTGGGAGGAAGGGTTTGAACTGTGCTCTTCGCTGAGGAACGGGCACTGCCTCCTCCCAAGACTCAAGACAGGGGACACAAGACAGAGGCACAGGTGCTCCAGGGACCTAACACAGGAGTGCTGTTTGCCAGCCTGCATGTGGGTGGGAAGGGGAAGCTGTCCCAGCCCCCTCCGAGTTTTACTGTAGGCTCAATTATAAATCCACCTCACACGACCTCATCCCCTCCCCAGGCTAACTGAACCAGAGCCCTTTCCTTCCCCCTTTGATGGAGATGACCAGCAAAGCCCTTGGCTTAAATGAGTTTCTCTGTTCCTCAGTGATCAGATTTGACTCTGATTTGATTTCAAATGCAGAGAACACAGATAAATCATTGTGCTGCGCTTAATAGAATTGAAGACCTTGTCTCCTGTCCACATTGTGACAGCAGAGAAGGTGGGGGCCAAGGACAGGGGAAGCAGAAACCAGTGAGGCAGAGCAAAGACTGCGTAAGTTCGTGTGGTCATCCCAGAAGGGAGAACAAGACGGTGTCCAGAGCTGCCTTTCTTCCTGCCTGCACTCGAAACCACAGCCCCACAGGGAAATCAATTCCTGCCTCCCCCAGAGACATTATAGAGCAGAGGCGATGATTTCAGTTTCCAGGCCTCCCAGAGCCACCAGCCTGAAGCTGTTCCCCAGCCTCCACTCCAGCACATCCCTGGCTTCCTTTGGCCTCAGCCTTTGGCTACCTGTCTCCCTCCTCTTTCTGTCCAGGTTCACTACCGAATCTCAGTATTTCCTGTCTCTCAGTTTCTTCTATCTCAACTGAGGACAGCCCATGTGACCCTGAATTAGTGCTCACTCAGACAGCCGTGGGGTCCTTAGTCATCTTTCTCTAAAATCTCAGTCTCCACCTCCTTCTAGCCCACTTCCATCCGTATTTTGGCCAAACTCCACAGCTAGGATAGGATTCCTTATGAGCTCAGTGACCTTCACTGAGGCCACTGCACCACCCAGGCTACTCTGGGGGTTGGCATGAAGGATGAGATGCAGGACTCTGTGGGTTTCATCTGTTTTCTTTTGCTGTGTCTTTTACCAAGATGTTGGTCAAGGTTCTTGGTTGCAAACTCTGGATAGCGGATTTGGTTTGGATACTTGTACCATTCAAGTGTCATGTTGGAATGGGATCTCCAGTGTTGAAGGTGGGGCCTAGTGGGAGATGTTTGGGTCATGGGGTTGGATCCCTCATGAGTGGCCTGGTGCCCTCCCCGAGGTAATGAGTGAGTTCTCACTCTGTTAGTTCCTGTGAGCTGGTTGTTTAAAAGACTCTGGCACCTCCTCCTCCCCTCTCCTTTGCTCCCTCTCTCGCCATGTGACACACCTGCTCCCCCTCCGCCTCCTGCCGTGAGGAAATGCTTCCTGAGCCTGCAGAACCAGGAGCCAAATAAACCTCTTTTCTTTATAAATTACCCAGCCTCAGGTATTCCCTTGTAGCAATGCAAAATGGACTAACACAAGAGTTTAAACTGAAAAGGAATTTACTTAAGGATGGTAAGTAGGAGAATCATGATGGTCCACAGAGCTAGCCTCTACTCTAGGCCTCCAGGAACAATGCTCGATCGCACCGTGGGGCAACTTCTGTCACAATTCTGGGGGTCAGTGACTTAGGCAAATGGCTCTTCTGGCCGCTGCTGGGTTCAGTTAGAAATCTGCCACTGACTGTTTACCAGGCAGCTTAGATGTCCTCTACACGTCTCTCTTAGCTCTTTGGAACATTTTCTTGCAACAGCAACAGGAAAGCTCACCTGCATGGCAAGGTCCCAGTGCCTGGAGTCCCACCATTGCCACCTGGCACAGCTGCACAACACGCCCTGTGCTCCCAGGAGATCCCCTGCCCTGATGCGCAGCTGCCTTCCTGGGATGCCCACTTCCCAATCCATGTCTCACAGGGTGGGTGTGGCGTGCATCCATGTGGCGGATCCTAAGTTACATGCCTCCACCTTCATGTGAGCTTTATGGAATCTGCCCTGAGAAAGCAGGATTCCTAATATGGGAAAAGACCTGCTGACTCATGATATGGGAAACAACCAACATCTAGGGAGAATATAAAAAGACGTTGGCAGCAACCAGTGATGAAGGCCCACTCCACCATCCAAGCCCAGCAGCCGACTGTATCGTTCAGAAAGCTGATAGCCCAGGCAGAGAAGAGGTGGCTCTGCAGACTTCCCCAGGGTCCCTGCCTCTGACTCCTGAGTTGGGTCGTCACTCAGAAGCATTCAGAAATGCCAGGATATATCTACATGTTCACTGGTGTCCCAAGGGCTGATCCTCTCCAGCACACTCTCAGAGACGGCTCCGTGACATCCTATTGATCCTCATTTCTTTCATTACCCCTCTGTAAAGAAAGCCTCTTCTGCAGTCCTGCCACACTTGAGTCCTGCACCATGGTCTGGTTTAGCCAGGGGGGGGCCTCCCAGCCCTCCCAGCCCTCCCAGCCCTCGTGTGTATCTCTGTCATTGTTCTATGAAGCTTTATGGTAAGCATCTGCTTAAGTATCTAACACCATGTCTGTCATGTGAGTTTTGCAGGGCAAGTTGGTTTCCCACTCATCACTATAACCCTAGAACCTCTCACAGTACCCAGAGCAGAGGGTTCGCTTAGAAAATGTTTAGGGGGTGCCCCTTTCATGCTCGCAATCACTTTGATAACATGAGTTCATAGAGGGTTCCTCCATGCCAAATGCTACAAAGGTTATACTGAGGATACGGCACTTCCAGAACTCAGGAGTGAATTCTGCGTCATCGCCCCATGCTCTAGAGAGAAGAGAAGAAATGTATGTCTGGTCCCCTGTACAAGTCAAGCGAGGTGTAGCTTTTACAGCAAGACCAGAAGAGGGAAAAAGCTGCAGCGTCCCCATCAGCACCAGCCCTGAATGGCCTCGGCTCTGCACAGGCCAGGGAGCCAGTAGACTTGTGATCTGACTCCAACACCAAGTGCAATTCAGCATCCCCTTGACTCCAACACTGAGTCCAACACTGAGACCATTCACATTGTTATAAAGGAATACCAGAGGCTGGATAATTTATAAGGAAAATAGGCTTATTTGGCTCATGTTCTGCAGGCTGTACAGGAAGTATGGTGCCAACATCTGCACCTTGTGAGGGCCTCAGGCTGCTTCCACTCATGGCAGATGGCAAAGAGAGCCATTGTGTCCACAGGTCACATGGCCAGAAAGGAAGCAAGAGCGAAAAGAGGAGTTTCCAGGCTCTTTTAAACAACCAGCTCTCCCATGAACGAATCGAGTGAGAACTCATTACCATAAGGAGGACAGCACCAAGCTGTTCATGAGCATTCACCCTCATGGCCCAAACACCTCCCCCTAGGCCTCACCTCCAAACTTGGGGATCAAATTTCAACATGAGATTTGGAGGGTCAAATATCCAAATCATAGCACTATACTCCAAGCTTCTCATCTCAGAGACATCAAAGCAGGGAGCTGGCAAAAACTCCTGCTCAAGTGCATGGCAAGGCAGGAAGTCCTGAGGTTGCACAGCCAAAACATGGCACCTGCTGCTGGATTCCAAGCCAATGTAGAGGGTGGTTGGTTGGATGAGCTGTAAGTTCCACGGATAAAGCTTTGTTGAAGGAGAATTGTTGAGAAGCACAACCATACAAAAATGAGAAGACTAGGAAGAGCTCCTGGGACAGACAGCCCTCTCTTTCTGCAGGTAGTCTGGCAGTGGGAGAGTCAGACAGTGGGCAGATTCCTTCAACCAGCCCATACCTCGTTCCTGGCCATGCAGAAAGCAAAATCATGGCCCCTGGATGGTTTTCTATTTATTGGCCCTTTTAATTATTTCATAAGAATTCAGTTAGACCTGATGTTATAGACTGAGTCGTGTCCTCCCAAAATTCATACACTGAAGCCCTAACCTCCAATGTGACCGTATCTACTTGAAATAGATCGTATCTATTTGAAATAGACCATATCTATTTGAAGACAGAGCTTTTAAAGGGGTAATGAAGGTTAAATGAGATCATAAGAGTGGGTCCTAATCCAGTAAGACTGGTGTCCTTCTAAGAAAGAAAGCGACACCAGAGGTGCATGTGCAGAGGAAAGGCCACGTGAGGACCCAGCAAGCCAAGGAGAGAGGTCTTGAGAGAAACCCACTCTGCTGGCACCTGGGACTTCCAGACCCCAGAACTGTGAAAAAAAAAAAAAAAAGTGATTTCTGTTGTTTAAACTACCTGGTATTTTGTTATGGCAGAGTCCTAACGAACTAACACACTTCGTTCCACTCATCTTCCGTGAGTTTCTCCGTGTGATTTGGGCCTGGAAATGGAAACAGACAAGTCTGGCTAACAAAATTTGTTTCATTGACCATCTATACTTCAGCATATTCCAGAAATGTTTTTTAAAGGTGTCATTTTTTAAAGTATGGCATAATGCTACCGAATCTGAAATCCAAAAACAAAATGTTAGAATTAAAAAGGAAAAAGGTTTACATGACTAATATAATTGCTTCCATGATATTTGAATTTGGGCATCAAACTCAGCTTGAGGCTTCCTGAAGATCAAGGCAAAAGAAAAAAATTGTGTTAACAAAATTATAATCATCTGGAAAACCGGTTTGCTCTTCCAAGAGCAAACCAGTTCTTCAAGATAGGAAAGGTAAAGTTCTTCAAGGTAAAAACAAATTTTTTTCTATGATCACCAGCAGTCAATAGCATTAGACCCTTTGTCAACTAACTATCTGTGTAAGGCCTGGGAGACCCTTGAGGTCGGAGGTGGGGGAGGCTGATTAAGAGTTTCAGAAAATGAGCCTGGGTATCTTGTATCATTAATTTACTCCCTTAATAAGTTCAATCTGGACTCTTTTTCTCAACCCCCTCATTGTCAAGGTAACCCAACCCCCTTCCCCTTCCTCTAACTCCACCCAGCCCCATCCCCAATTATGTCAATGGCAGCGGGGAAAAGCGAGGGCAGGGGAGAGCAAGAGAAGCTGTGGGGAAAGGAAATTCAGCATGGAAGTGGAATAAGTCAGCCGACCCTCCCATTCTCCCACCGCCATAGCCCTGTCAGCAACACACAGAAAGCTGAAGCAAGACACAGGGAGCAGGCTGGGCACGCTGAACTCACCTTCTAGGAGTAAACTGCAGTTCACTTCACACACATCTGTGAAGTGGGCTTCATCTGTTAGACAAACTCACTAGGCTTCCATTCCTTCACTTACGGTGACCTGGACTACATCTTCTCAACACTCATCTCTTTTCTTATCAATGCATGTGTTCATTTATTCATCAAGTATGCACCTGCCCTGGGGCTAGGATCTGGGGCTGTCATACAAGTCCACTGACGAGCTGAGTAATCCTCTCTGCCCATCACACACTCCACTCTTCTCCACTCTGCCCAGGACCCAGGGTTGATCTGAATGGACTACACAGCAGGTGGCTTGACCCAGACTTCCAGCTGGATTTGGCTAAGATAGAGCACACGCTCTGTAAAAGTGGGCAAGTCATTTAGTTGTCTGTGCTTCATTTGTACCCACTCCTTCACGGACCTAGAGATGATGAGGTGAGGTTATTCACGTGTTCATCATTCCGCAATTATTTTTCGAGTGCCTGCTCTGTAATTTCTAGGTGGGGCTGACCTTACAGGCACAGTACCTGAGCAGGTGCAGAGGGTTCCCTGTGCTTGGTTCAATGCTCTGCAGCCACTACCTTGAAAATCTTAAGAATATCCTTAACAAGAACCCCACGTTTTCATTTTGCAAATTATGTAGCTAGTTTTTCTCCTGTATACACACTCCTAAGAGCTAGAGATACAGCAGTGAACAAAACAGACAAAAATCTTGCCTGCATGAAGCTGACATTTCTCATCTGTTAATTCATTTAACAAACACTGTGCTCATACTGTATGAGGAAGACCATTTCAGGAGGGGAGAGGTGCACAAACAGCCTAGGTGAGAAAACATTTGCATAAAGAATAGGCAAGAAAAACAGTACGACTGTCTTCTTTCCATCTTTTTCTTTTTTGTACCGTGGCACTGACTAGGACCTCCAGTATTACATTGAATAAAAGTGATGATAATAACCATTCTTGCCTTGCTCCTGATTTTAATGAGAATTCTTCTAATATTTCTCAATTTAGGTTGATGAGTTTTGTTGGGTTGGTGCGAAAGTAACTGTGGTTTTTGCCATTAATGTAATTTTTTATCTTTTATTCAGTTAAAAAATTCCTTTCTAAATTTAACATTTTTTGACCAGCATTTATGTTAAATACTGTGAAAAGCTTTTCCTGTAGCTATTGAGATAAATATATCATTTTTATTTTTCTATCAGTGCATGTGATGAATTATATTTATAAATTTTTTAAAGGATTCCGAATACATATTTTTAAAAGACCCTGAATCTACAGGACCTGCTGACAGATCAGATGTGAGTCATGAAAGAAAAAGAGAAGTCAGGCCAGGCATGGTGACTCAGACCTGTAATCCCAGCACTTTGGGAGGCTGAGGCGGGCAGATCACCTGAGGTCAGGAGTTCGAGACCAGCCCAGTCAACATGGTGAAGTCCTGTCTCTACTGAAAATACAAAAATTAGCCAGGTGTGGTGGCAGGCGCCTGTAATTCCAGCTACTCGGGAGGCTGAGGCAGGAGAATCACTTGAACCTGGGAGGCGGAGGATGCAATGAGCCGTGATCTCTTGTTGCCTGGGCAACAAGAGCAAAACTCCATCTCAAAAAAAAAAAAAAGAAAGAAAGAAAAAGAGTCAAATACAATGCCAAAAGTTTTAGCCTAGACAAGTGAGCAAATAAAATTGCCATTTATCCAAACAGGGAAGGCTATAAGAAGAAGGTTTTGTTTTCAGTGAGAGAGGGGAGTCCAGAATTAGCTCAGCTTTGTACATGTGAAATATAAGATGTCTGTTAGGTATGAAATGGAGATGTGGACCAGGCATTTGGATACATGCAGTAGAGACTGAGAAAACAAGTACTGGCTGAATACATGAACATATTAATTTGAGAGCCATCAGCATTTGTGGACATTGAAACATTCTTAAGGACCTCCATATATACAGGAGTAAGTAAATCTCAAAATTATTTGCAAAATGTTTTCCCTTCTTTTGCGTAGAAGGAAATAAGTGCTCATACAGAGTATCTATTCTATGATGTTATTCAGCAGGTCCTTTTGTTCTAGGCTTCCATAATATTCCTCACCACACATACAGGTTTATTCTGGTAGTATAGATTTTTGTCTGATAGGTTGTATTCAAGAGTCTACTGTATCTGTAAAATGTGATGAAAATTTTGCAATTTGGCCAAGCAGACCTGAAATAGAACAGGTACATGGACATACAAACACACACACACACACACACACACACGCACCCACCAATTTTACTGTATGTAAATTTAAAATATTTTTTATTTTATTTTTCATTGGCACATAATAATTGTACATATTTATGGGGTACAGTGTGATGTTTCAGTACATGTATACAATGTAAAATGACTACATTGGGATAATTAACACATCTAGATCCTCAAAGATTTAATATTTATTTGTGGTAAGAACATTCAAAATCCTCCCTTCTAGCTATTTTGAAATATACAATATATTACTATTAACTCTAGTCACCTGACTGTGCAGTGGAACACTAGAACTTATTCCTCCCATCTAACTGTAACTCCGTACCCATTGACCAGTCTCTCCTCATTCCCTCCTTCTCCCTACCCTCCCCAGCCTCTGGTAACCACCATTCCGCTTTCTACTTCTATGAGATCAACATTTTCTGGATTCTACAGATGAGTAAAATCGAGGAGTATTTGTCTTTCTGTGCCTGGCTTATTTCACTTAGCATAATGTTCTCCAAGCTTATCCATGTTGCTCAAATGAGAGGATTTCATTCTTTTTATGGCTGAATGGTATCCCATTGTGTAAATATGCCACATTTTCTTTATCCATTTATCTATTGATGGACACTTAGCCATATCGTGGCCATTGTGAATCGTGCTGCCTCCATCTCAAAATTCTGCCTTTGATGTTTTACAAAGATACCATCCAGCCTAAAGGAAGAAATGATCTCTTCAAGTAAAATGGAAGGTGCAGGTATTTATAAAGTGGGATGGCTATGATGATGGGCTTCTACTTATTACTCATTAAATGATGTGAAGTCTGAGCCAAAGGCAAGTTCCTCTTGTTCCGTAGGTTCTTGGGTCTAAATTTATAGCATCAAGACTGAAGACCAGAAGTGACCCTCAAAGACGGCACAATCACCTAGTAGTCCATTCATTGTCCTGCCTTTAAGTAGCACCACACCCTAAGCCACTGTAGACCTAACTGCCTTAACTATCTCACAGAATTATTTAGAGAATCAAACAAGAAACACAATGGTTAAGAAAAATATTGAGCCCTTGGAACCAACCCAAATGCCCATCAATGATAGACTGGATAAAGAAAATGTGGCACATATACACCATGGAATACTATGCAGCCATAAAAAAGGATGAGTTCATGTCCTTTGCAGGGACATGGATGAAGCTGGAAACCATCATTCTCAGCAAATTAACACAAGAACAGAAAACCAAACACCACATATTCTCACTCGTAAGTGGGAGTTGAACAATGAGAACACATGGACACAGGGAGGGGAACATCACACACCGGGGGCCTGTCGGAGGGATGGGGGCTAGGGGAGGGATAGCATTAGGAGAAATACCTAATGTAGATGACAGGTTGATGGGTGCAGCAAACCACCATGGCACATGTATACCTATGTAGTAAACCTGCATGTTCTGCACATGTACCCCAGAACTTAAAGTATAATCATAAAAAAAAATGAGCTTTACAAATAAGAAGCATTCTTTTCATATGTGTGCATCCAAACTTACTGATCATTTCTATCCTAAAAAGTAAGAAACCCAAAGTTATAAAAATTACCAGAACCTAGTATACTTTAATATTTAAAAGGATCCATTCAACACACAGTTGCCCTGGAGTCCTGTCTTCAACATTGCTTTCTTTCCTTTCCCCAAACCAGGCAAATTTATTAGATTCCTGATGAGATTACTGTTCAACTCCTACATCCTCCCTCTGCTCATCCCATCCCTGACTAACGTGTGACCTTTTTTGACTGAATTATTGAAAGCCATTAATGGTTTCATTGCTTCTGATTGCCAGCATTTGCCAATTGTGCTGTGGCATTTATCAAGCTCTTGTTAGGCTGGGCACGGATCACTTCCAGCATTGGTTTAAGCTCCATAAACTAAATTTCCTTAATTAGAATCAGCTCAGCTCCAATAGTCCAGGCTAATAAGCTACTAATGGATTTGCCATGGAGTCTGTAGCAAAAAGAAACAGAATTAGTTGATCTTTAGCAAAGTTAAACAGTATTGAAACTTACAGAAAAGGAAGTCATTTCTCTAGAGCCCTGATGAGATTTGAGGTGATCAGCCCCACTGGGGGTGCAGGGCACTACCCCAAGTAGTGTCCTCCTATGGAAGGGGGGTTGGGCTTGCAGGAAGCTGCTTTAACGCTGAGGGTCTCATGTCCCCTTCCCTTCACCTTTATCACCTGCTGTGTTCATGTCTAAGATGGCTTCTGATAAAGAAGAAAGGCATTTAGGTCAATGGGAAATTGTGGGGAAGTTGACTCCCCGAAGAAACCGCAAGCTGTTCCCTTCATTTAACTGCTCAAGTAGTTTCAGAGAGTTCCTGAAAAGAGGCTTGCCTTAGCAATCAGAAGATCTGGGTTCTTACTAGCTCTATGGACTTGGGTAAACCACTCTACCTCTTAACATTGGGCTCCAATTACATCTTCAGTGAAATAGGGATCATGAAATCTTACCAACTTCCAAGAACAAAGTTTGGTCCAGATGAATTCTGCCCAAGATCTCCTCGACAACTAAACCAGGTGAGCCCCATCCATTTTACCATCCATGCCCTAATTCCCCTACTTTACCTCCTTCCTCATTTCAGACCACAAAGATCTAAATCTTCCTTCCACAGTGGGTGAAGGAGTTTGGCTGCATCATGGCGGGAAGCATGGTTTTTGTGTGCAACCAGCAAAGCTCCTTCAGTTTTGAAAGGGAATTGGCCTCTGTGATTACAAAAAACAAAAACAAACAAACAAACAAATAAAAACTTAGCTTAAAATCTGCTCAGGTTTGAATAGAAAAGTGGTGGGTAGAAAGAAGCCCAAGGTAAAAAAGGGAGAATGGATTGAATGTGCGTTTTCTTGACTCTTTCTTCCCACTGTCTGCCTCCTCCGTGGGTATCTCTCACTTACATTCCTGTCGCATCACCTAAGTTGCCCCCAAAAACTACGTGCCCCTTTAACATTCATTCATTCTCATTCAGTTAGCATTTGCTGAGAGCTTCTACTTGCTAAGCACTGGGCTTGGAATAAAGGTGCTGGGTAAATTGGGCCAATCCCTGCCCTAGGAAACTCACAAGTTAGTAGAGGAGTCAGTGGGTAAAGGGAGGATTAGGGGGAAACATGTCAGGGACGTCTCTGTAGTGCCTGCAAGGTGATGCGGGAGATCAAGATGGGAAATGGGAGTCCTGCAGAAAACGCTCATGGTGGAAGTAATGCCACGCCTTGTCTTGAAGGAGGAGCTGGGAGGATAAGGTGCACTCCCAGACACAACCTGTGTCCCAGATGGCACTCACCCTCCTCTGTGCTTTGTTTCCTCACTGGTCCCCCCAACCAGTCTGTGACCTCCTTGAGGGCAAGAATGGCCCTGTTCATCCTCATGTGCTCTGCACTTTGCACACTTCCAGGCACATTAGAGGCCTTCGATCCAAGGCTGGTGGATGGATGGATGGATGAGTAAACAACAAATGAGCAAAACGGCTCTTTTGAAAAGTGCAGCCCCTAGATGATGGGTTGATTGACAGGTGCGGCACACCACCATGGCACACATATACCTATGTGGCAAACCTGCACATTCTGCACTCGTATCCCAAAACTTAAAGTAAAAAAGAAAAGAAAAGAGAAAAGGGAAAAAGGAAAGGAAAGGAAAGGAAAGGAAAGGAAAGGGAGGGGAGGGGAGGGGAGGGGAGGGGAAGGGAGGGGAGGGGAGGGTAAAGGGCAAGCAGCCATTGAAGTAGGAAGAGGATGATAGAAAAACAACGGAAGCAAACCTCAGGGCCCCAGGGTTTTCTGATTGCTTGATTGGGATGGAAGACTTGCTTGTGGCCACCCACTGAGGGCAGAAAGACTGAGGGGGTGGGAGCCTGGGGCCCTGGAGGGGTGAGAGCTTGGGGCCATGGAGGGGTTGGAGCGCAGGGGCGGATGCCATTCACTGCACAGGAAGAACAAAGGGGTAAGAGGGGGTGACAGGTTGATCAAGGCTGTGCCAGTTTGGGTCCATCGCAGCAGGAGAAGAGGCAGGAGGCTGAGGAGCTCACTGGCTTCCCAGGGCAGTGGCCGTGCTACCGTCTGCTGGTGCAGGACAGATGGGGACTCCTTATTCATCACCTCTCCTGGTTAGCTGTGCCCTCCCACACTGGGGTTCTCAGACCCCCAAGTCATTTACCAGCCTTGGCTCCCAGCCCTTGTCCTTTGGGCACCTTGAAAATGTGCCTTGTCTAGAGAATCAGGTTGACAGGTGCTTTTCATCAAAAATCCATTGCAAGGTGGCACCTGACAAGCTTTGAATGTTCTGAGTACGACAGTGTCCCCAGTCTCAGTGTCTTCAAAAGTTTGTCTTTGCGTCAGCTTGACTGGACAGAAGTTCTTGTGTTCTTATTTCCCTTACAGATAAATTCCTGTCCCATCTCCCTGTCGGCTGCCAGCCAGATGGAATCACTGTCTGCTGTCAGCTGGAACAGTTCCTGATAATAGGACGTGCCCGGAATGGGTTGTGTGTGTGTGTGTGTGTGTGTGTGTGTGTGTGTGTGTGTTATGGGATGCATGTATGTATTGTGGGGTGTGTGTATGTGTGTTGTGGAGGGGTATTGTGTGGTGTGTGTGGTATGGCGTGTGATGTGGTTATGGTGTGGTGTGTGGTGATATGTGTGTTGTAGACTGTGTTGTGGGCGTGGTGAGGGGGTGTGTGTTGTCATGTGATGGGTGGTGTGGATATGCGTGTGGTGATATGCATGCAGTGTGTGTGGTGTGTGTTGTATCTTGTGTGTGTTGCATGTCTTGTGTATATGTTGTGTGTTTTGTGTATGTTGTGTGTGTGTCGTGTGGTGTGTGTTTCATGTGTGTCATGTGTGTTTGTGTTATGTGTCATGTATGTTGTATTGTGTCATGTGTGTTGGTGTGTGTTGTGTGTTTTTGTGTGTTGTCTGTATTGTGTTGTTTGTGTGTATGTGTGATGCTCTCTCATGCTAGTTCACTTTCCTCAAATCCCAGCTGGGCTCTGAGCACAGGTTCCAGGTGAAGCCTGACCAGGCCAGGTGACACAGCTTCCTTGTTTCTGTCCCTGTCTCTGGTCTGCTGCAGCCTTAGGAACCGCAGTCTCTTCTTCTTCCCCAGCTGTGTGGTACGAGAAGTAGCTGTGCTTGTAACAGAGCTGGTCACCAAGGCGCCTTGGAGACCAGGGATGAGATGCAGACAGAAAGGGGGGTTTAGAGCACAGCCAGGGACCTGGGGGACCCAAAAAGGGAGTGAATAATTACTAGTCAGCCCAGTTATGTGATTTTCCTCTTCTCTGCTCTACTTAGTCCCGTGGAGCCCCTGGCAGAGCACCTAGTCAAGGCGTCTGGAAAGGCTGAAGCCCTAAGAAGGAATTAGAAGTTCCAGATCAAGTCCAAGGTGGAGAGACGCTTCAGCCCACAGGAGCCTAAGTGTGGCTGGGAAGACCAAGCGGCAATGGGGATTTTATCTTCCTGCAAAGTGTGTGCAATGGCCAAGATAAAATGCTGAGAACAGTTACCAGGCCTGTGAAAGCCGTGTGAGGGGGGCCCCGCGGAGCCAGCCCCATCTGACATGTGGGGAAGAAATCCAGGCCGGTCCTAGGAAAGCTGTGGGAAAGCTCCCGGCCTTCTGTGTGGGACTTTTCCTTCCCTGCCTCCATCTCACATCACTCTCCTTCCAGAACCAAGTACCTCCCTGATGCTCCCTGTTTCCATCCAAGGAAAGCAATCTTGAGGCCCATTCCAACTGACTCGCAAATCTTACCACCCATTTCTTTCCATCTTACGAAAGGAATCCTCTCTCATGGGCACTCAGAGGCAATGTGGTACATAGTAAGGAAGCCATTTCGGATAGGAGGTCCCTTTCCTTGCCCTCAAATCCAACTAACTTTTAATTCTGTTGATGATCAATCAGAAGCTTTTAATATTTTATAAAAACCTTCTTTATTTCTTCATAAGTGAACTTCCTTTATGTATAAGGGAACTAGGGAGGCTGTTTCCTAACTCCTTCCTTCCCTGCTTCCCTCCTTCCTTCCCTGCTTCCCTCCTTCCTTCCTTCCCTCCTTTCTTTGTTTCTGAAACTTCTTTCCTTCCTTCCTTCCTCCTCTGCTTCCTTTCCTCCTTCCTTCCCTCCTCCCTTCCTTCTTTCCTTCCTTCTTTCCCTCCCTCCCTCCTTCCTTTCTTCCTTCCTTATTTCCTTCCCTCCCTCCTCTCCCACCTTCCTTCCTTCCTTCTAATGTATTTTGTGCCCATTGTGGGCCAGCATCCTGATGGCTGGGCAGGTTCTCCAGGCCACCTCTCTTCACCTCCCCACCTAGGGAGCTCACACTGATTCATCGTACGTGATGTCTGGAGCCCTTTGGCCTTTGTGGCACTGTGCTATGTCCCAGGAGCGTGTTCATCCTCCCTCCTCACTGAGACAACTGATAGCATCTTACCCCATTCTGTCCCTGCAACCTCCTCACCACCATCACTTTTTGCTCCAACTGATAACTTCCAAGTACTTTCTAGGCAGTCTGTGGTCAGTGGTACTAAGCCCATGTCATTCATGGCTTCTTTCACTGGTAGACATTTGCCCCTAGGAAGTTTCTGATCTGCACCTCCACAAATAGCTGCCTGTGCCACCTCTCCACCTAAGGGTTCATCCTCAAAGGGCAGACCCAGAGGAAATAAGACCCAGAGGAAGCATGCTTGGGGCCCTTTGGCAGACAAGTCCAAGGTCAAGACATGGGGGCTGTAAATGCAGATAGGAATCCACAGACTACCCCATGGGAGGAGCTGGCCAGTAGAAGGCCAAATGAAGCCCTGGTGGCCACAATTTGCTCCTGAATTCTTGGATGTGACACCAGAAGCCTAAGCAATAAAAGAATACACAAAGAAATTCTATGTCACCCAAATTTAAAACTTTTGTGCTTTAATAAACACTATCAACAAAGTGAAAAGATAGCCTACAGAATGGGTAAAAATATTTGCAAATTGTACATATGATAAAGAATTTATAATTCAATAATAAAAGGACACATAGCCCAATTTTTTAATGGGCAAAGGATCAGAATAGATATTTCCCTAAGGAAGGTGCACAAATGGTCAATAAGCACATGCCATTTGAAAAGATGCTCAACATCATTAGTCTTTGGGAACTGCAAATCAAAACCACAATGAGCCACCACTTTATACTCACTAAGATGCCACTTATCCAAAGGTCAGCATGGCCATTCACTGCTGGTGGGGATGGAAAACAGTCAGGCAGTTCCTCTAGCAATTAAGTTATCCTGTGATCCAACAATCCCACACCTAGATATATATCCAAGAGAAATAAAAACACGTCCACACAAAAATTTGTACACAAATGTTTATAACAGCATTATTTGTACAGGACATACAACCTGTGTGTCCATCAGCTGATGTATGGATAAACAAAATGTCATAGATCCATATCATGGAATATTATTCAGCCATGAAAAGCAATGACACACTAATACATACTTCAACATATACGAACCCCGAATGCTAAGCAAAAGACATCAATCACAGAAAGCCACTTAGTGTACAATTTCATTTATATGAAATATCCAGAATAAGTAAGTCCATGGAGACAGAAAGCAGACTGGTAGTTGGCAAGGGCGGGGAGGTTGAGGGGAATAGGGAGTAACTGCTCAGTTGAAAAAGGGTTTTCTTTGGGGGTGATGAAATGTTTTAGAAAGAGACGTAGGTGATCACAGCACACATTGTGAATGTACTAAGTGCCACTGAATTGTACACAAAAGACCACATATTACATGACTCCATTTCTATGAAATCTTCAGAATAGGCAAATCTCTTTTTCCCTATTCAGAAAGTAGACCAGGGGTTGCTTAGGGCTGAGAGGTTGGGGGATAATGTGGTGATAGCTGAATGGTACACATTTCTTTTTGAGATGATGAAAATATCCTAACATTGGCCAGATGCAGTGTCTCACGCCTGTAATGCCAGCACTGTGGGAGGCTGAGGCAGGCAGATCACCGGAGGTCAGGAGCTCGAGACCAGCCTGGCCAACATGGTGAAACCCCATCTCTACTAAAAATACAAAAATTAGCCAGGCATGTTAGTGCCTGCCTGTAATCCCAGCTACTCAGGTGTCTGAGACAGGAGAATCGCTTGAACTCAGAGGCAGAGGTTGCAGTTAGCCAAGATTGTGCCACTGCACGCTGTCTCAAAAAAAAAAAAAAGAAAAATATCCAAAAATTGGCTGTGGCAATGGTTGCACATATCTGTGGCTATAAATTACACATATTTATATTTTAATTAATTATGCATTTTAAGGATTAATTATATGGTATGTGAAATATATCTTAATAAAGCTGTTTTTAAAAACTGGGGGCCCAGGCCAGTTCCTAAAACATCTGAGTTCCTAAAAAGCCTTTTGGCTCTTCTGCCAGTGGAGGCTTTGTAGTTTTTCCTCCATGCTGGAGCCTAGCCCACTGTGTCCTTTCTAACCTTTTTCCTCTTCTTTTCTCTTCTTCTGCTTCTTCTACCCTATCTCAAAAGCAATCTCCATTTCTAATGCCAATGCAATTGAGTAAAATGTGTTTCCTGAACTTCATGCCCATGGGCTCTCCCATTCTATTCCGAAACCTCAAGGTATTTTTCTAAATAAAGACAGCTTCTACCCTAAGAGGAATTCCAGCATTAGCTATGGAGATTTTTTTCAACCCATTGGAATATTTTAGGGCAAAAAAGAATGACTGCAAGGCTGGGCACAGTGGCTTACGCCTGTAATCCCAGCACTGTGGGAGGCCGAGGCTGGTGGATCACCTGAGGTCAAGAGTTCAAGACCAATCTGGCCAACATGGTGAAACCCCATCTCTACTACAAATACAAAAAATTAACCGGGCATGGTGGTGGGCGCCTGTAATCCCAGCTACTCCAGAGGCTGAGGCAGGAGAATCACTTGAACCCTGGAGGTGGAGGTTTCAGTGAGCCAAGGTCATGCCATTACACTCCAGCCTGGGCAACAAGAGTGAAACTCCATCTCAAAAAAAAAAAAAAAAAAAAAAAAAAGACTGCATTTCAGCAACATGGCAGAGGAAAGTCCTACTAGAGAACATGTAGCCTACAGTGAGTATAGACAAGAGGATTAAAGGGTAGATCCATCAGCTCTTGGCAGCTGTTCAGTTAAGAGCTAGGAAAAAAGTGGAATCTAGGATTTCTCCCAATGTTTGGGCAACTAAGAGGCCAAGGTGGTGCCAGGAATTGAGTGAAGGATCACAGAAGTAACGGTAAATCTTCTTGGGGGAAGACACTGGGCTGCGTTTTGGAAACATTGAGTTTGACCTGCTTGTAGAACGTCGGAGCAGTGATATCTAGTCAGCAGTTGGATATGCAGGTGATGTGCACAGTTGAGTGGCCCCATATGGAGAACTGTCTGGGGTATAAATTTACACAAGGAGTCACTACCTAGAGAAAGAAGCTGCAGTTTAGTTGGAATTCTCCCTAGAAAATCTGTATGACAAGACAAGCTTGGCTGTGAGTAAAAGAATTAAGACTGAGAAGGACCTGCCAGAGAAGTTGGAGAACCAGAAGAGACCAGCACCCCAGAGCCAAGAGATCACTTGTAAGGGGTAACGGACAAGAGATTAAGTAAGGAAATATTTGGAGACAACAGACTGGAAAAACTATCATTCCATTCTCTTTATCTTTGAGATGGATAATATCTGCCCTGTAGGGTTGTAGGGAGGAGTGAATTAATGAATGAAAACAACCCCCTCAAAACTAGCCCCAGAGTCCCAAGGCACCGGCCAAGGCTACAACCAAAACACTTTGGTTCCTAGTTCAGTTCTGTCTTCACGACACGATGCCTTTTCCATTCAGGTATCTTGCCTGCAATGTAACAGCTACATAAAGAACTATTCATTTAACAAACTGTTATTAAATACCTATTACTTTCCACGCACTGTGATACAGAGATGAACAAGACATAGATCCTTCTCTGGTTGAGAAGCTATCACATCAGGTTCAAATCAGCCTAGTTCTGCTAACTCTGATGGGGGTCTGAGGGGCATTGTAATGACTCAGTGGCCAATTAGATGTTTTCAAACAGTTTATTGTGAGGCTCACACACATCAACAATCATGCAAATATATTCAATACACACAAGTAGTGATAAGAGAGAGGGGCAACAAACCGTGGCAGTAAGTAGGTGGGGAGACCAGCACACTAACTGACCAGACAGGCAGGTCCAAATTTCCCTCCAAAATCAACAGAAGGCCTCAGAATTCTCAGGGGCAGAGTTTCTGCAGGCATCTTGGCCAGGGTTAGTCTCTTTGCTGTTTTCATGGCCTCCACAGGAGGGTCCATGGTCATTAACTCAGCCATGTTTTAGCTTCATTTTCCTGTCAGTTCTCCGGGGTGCCTGGCCACAGCAGGTGTCATCACCTCAGTCCACCACACATATGCTTGTCACTTTCAGGGGTCAGCAATTCACTGTGGGCCATGTCAACCAAAAATTATCAGAGACAGGTCTCAATCAATTTAGAATGCTTATTTGGCCAAGGTTCAGGATGCACACCCGGGAGGCAGGTGCCTTTCTCCAAAGATGATGTTGAGGGATTCAAAATTTAAAGGGGAAAGGGCAGATGTTGGAGAAAGAGGAAGAAATTTTTTAAAGATGTGGGTAGATAAAAGACAGAGGATTCCATTCACCAAATATACAATTTATATGTGAAAGAAGGGTAGAGTAACACTCATGTAGTCCTTCCTCTAGCTCAGCAAATCTGCATTTTTATATCAGAGGAGGCAGTCAGATGCACATTTGTCCCAGGTGAGCAGAGGGCTAAATTTGAGTTCCATCCTTTGTCCCAAACCTGTGAATATAAGCTATCATTGACATTGTCAAGGTAAAATTCAACTGAACGGTTTTTTGGGTAAAGATCTTGGGGTCCACAAGGCATTTCCTAGTGGGAAAACTGTGAGGGAAGCATGTAGCTTTTTTTTTAACTTCACCACTATCTTATTTAGGAATACAATTGGAGGCACATTTGCCTGATGCAGTTCCCAGTTTGATTTTTCCCTTTGGCTTAGTGATTTTGGGTCCTGAGATTTATTTGCTTTTCACAGCTGAGTTACATGTCACAAGTGACTCCATTTTGAGACATTTAGGATCATAAAACATTATTATATATCATAAATGGAAAAAGAAAACCAACAATCACAGTGCAAGCTAGGGTGGAGGTGTGGCCAGGTATGAGTAACGCAAAAGTGAGACTGCTCATGAATTTGCTGGTGGAAGTAAACTCGGGGAAGGTTTAGCTGGGGTGTCCTAATGGAGAGGTGAAAGGCAAACATAGCTGGGAGAAGACACGGTCCATTTAGGGATAATGAATTTGGAGCAGAGAGCCTTTAGGGGGAAATTTGGAGAAGGATTTTAGGGGGGTTGGTGCAGTGATTTTCAGCCTTGGCTACACATTACAATCACCTGTGTAGCTTTTAAGAAATCCTGATATCTGAGGGTGCACTCCAAACTTTTTAAATGAGATTCTGAGCTGGTAGGGGCCAGGGAGGAATATTTTTTAAGTCTCTCTAGATGATGATTTGAATGGGCAGCCAAGATTGAGAACTCATTAGTGGTTAGTGGTTTTCATGGTGTGCTCCTGGACCAGCGGACGTGTGGCATGAACATGTCACCATCCTGGAGCAGCAGAGCCCCCTGTGGATTCTATAAGTCATGGCCCAGAGTCACGGCTGGCAAGAGAAGCAGTGAGCAGTGGGCAGGAATGATTGGTTACCACATGCACACACCCCAGCAGAAGCCCAGAAATATTTGGGGAGGCGGTCTATGAAAGACCCACTTTTCTCAGTTGGATGGGAGCTTATGGGAAGTGAGAATTTTGTGTTAATTTTAATGGGAATCAATCTAAACTCTCCCAGCTGGTAAGCCTGAAATCTTTGATTATAATGATATAGAAATATAACTTTATTATAAAGTTTGCACCGTATTTGTCCTTTGTTCTCTGAGTGTCATGATCACATAACTGCAGGGTTGGCTCTCGTGAAGATTCTGTGCTGGCCATAACATCCACACTGGGCTGGTGCTGGCACGTACCCCTCAGGCCCAGCCACATGGGAATTGTTGTCCAGTGCTGTGTCACGCTTACCAGGAGGCCAAGCAGCTGCTGCTGCTACTGCATAATTATTTCCTCCTGTCTTTATCCCCAAAATTCTACTCTTTGGGCCTTAGGTTGCATTCTCATATATTCCCATTGAAGAGTATAGATTGGCATAATCCATGGGGGAGATTTGGCAATAGTTTTCAAAATTATAAAAAGTACAGATGCTTTGATCCAGCCATTCCTCTCCTAGGAACTTATCCTACAGATATACATATGCAGAAGTTTACTTGTAATTGCAAAGGATTGGAAACATCTCAAATGACCATCAACATGGGACTGCTTTAATTAATTATGAGACATCTTAAGTTGGAGTATGAAAGATTCAGGAAGTGTTTTTTATCATTGTGGTAAAAGGGGAGGCAAAAGAATATACATGTATATATACATATTATATATATGTTATTTTTTAGTGTCCCCAGAAGGAAATACAAGAAATGTGTAAGTTTGGTTTCCTCCCAAGAGAGAATTAGATGGCCAGGGGACAAGGGTGGAAGGTAGATTTTTCACAGTGTGCCTTTGTATACTTCTCATATTTTTAAACATACAGATGAGTTACTTATTCAAGTAAATAATTTTAGATTGCATATTAGCTCTGTTAATGATACAACAAGTAACACATCTTTAAGTTTACCAAACTTTCACAATACTTTTCCCTGCCTTCTTCTCTGGAAGGAAGAATTAAATATAGAAGCACTTGTATAGAGAGGAGAGTAGTTAATGGTTACCAGAGGCTATGAAGAGGTGGGGATTAAAGAGAGATTGGTTAATGGGTACAGAAATACAGGGGTGGGGATTAAACAGAGATTGGTTAATGGGCACAGAAATACAGTTAAATGGATCTAGAACTAGAAATACCATTTGACCCAGCCATCCCATTACTGGGTATATACCCAAAGGATTATAAATCATGCTGCTATGAAGACACATGCACACGTATGTTTATTGCGGCACTATTCACAATAGCAAAGACTTGGAACCAAGCCAAATGTCCAACAACAATAGACTGGATTAAGAAAATGTGGCACATATACACCATGGAATACTATGCAGCCATAAAAAATGAAGAGTTGATGTCCTTTGTAGGGACATGGATGAAACTGGAAACCATCATTCTCAGCAAACTATCACAAGGACAAAAAACCAAACACCGCATGTTCTCACTCATAGGTGGGAATTGAACAATGAGAACACATGGACACAGGAAGGGGAACATCACACTCTGGGGACTGTTGTGGGGTGCGGGGATGGGGGAGGGATAGCATTAGGAGATATACCTAATGCTAAGCGATGAGTTAATGGGTGCAGCACACCAACATGGCACATGTATACATATGTAACAAACCTGCACATTGTGCACGTGTACCCTAAAACTTAAAGTATAATAATAAAATTAAAACAAAAAAAGAAATACAGTTAAATAGAAGGAATAAAGTCTAGTGTTCTATAACACAGTAGGATGACTACAGTTAACCACAACTTACAGTATATTTCCAAGTAGCCAGAAGAAAAGATTCTACACGTTCCCAACACAAAGAAATGATACATGCTTGAGGTGATGGATATCCTAAATACTATGATTTGATCATTGCACAGTGTATGCATGTATCGAAACCCCATTGCTACTTACTGGTACATATTGCATGTACCCCAATTATTAGGCATCAGTAAAAACAGATAACAAATATTAAGAGAAAGGAATTTGAGACAAGAAGACAGCAGCATTGCTCCAAGTAAATGATGAACTTCTTTCCCGCTGGAAATGGATCAGTCCTCCTCCAATTCCCAAATTAAATATCAGCCTAGGTGTCCAAGAACCTCTCCCTGGCCCCAACACTGGATAGAGTCCCCTCCTGGACATCTTCCTAGCAGATGGGCTCCCCTCCATAGCTGCAGGCAGTCCCCTCACTGCCACACCAGCTGTCTTCCCAAAGATCAGGTTCAATGGACCTTAAATCTCAGTCTTGTTAATGCTGCCTGGACTGTAAATTGGCACAACCACTGAAGAGGGAAAATTGGCAATCTTTATTAAATATTACAATATTTTTATAAAGTATCAAAGTATAGATACCTTGATCCAACAGTTCTTAGACACATAACCTGACATGTGAGGATTAAAAAAATGAATGGAAATTATCCATTTCAACAGGAAATAAATTTCTAGATTATTCTGAGAGATGCTATTCTGGGAGCAAGCATCTTGACTGTGAAGCCTGTCTCAATCCCCAGAAGTCAGGGCTGCCTCTCACACCTACAGCCACTCAATCAATATTTATGCAAATAAATGACCTTACCAGGAACTCAGGCTTCTTTTGTAATGTAAAATGCACTTTTAGAAAATCCATCATATTCTTCTTCCGAGTGGGACAATTAACCAGCCCTGTAATTTTGAAATGGCAAATGACCACACCGGGTATCTCTGAACCCCGTCCTTTGTTGAAAACTACAACATATTTATTACTGACATTTAGGCTCTTCTCCCACCTGCTCCCCTCTTGCAAACATTTCTGCAAAAAGTCTATTTCAGAGACTGAGGAATCCTCATTTGCATCTAATGCTCCCCCGACCACACTCTGTGGAGGAGTGCTAGGAAAGGTTAGGGCAGGGGAGACATGACTGAGGACCACAGAGCCAGGTGAGCACAGAGCTTCCGTCAGGAATGCCTCAGCAGGAAGAGAGGTAAAGGAATCAGAGGCCTGCTTTAGCACTCAGCAAAGAACTATCCCCGTGACTGGTGACAAAGAAAACGGTTTTTAGTCTGGGACTCCAGATCCATGGACACAAACCAAGTCCAAAAAGTAGTCAAGTGGCTCCTGAACCGGTGAGCATGCAATGACACTCATCAACCAGCCAGAAACCAGAGGCCTGGGGCATTTCCAACTCATCTGGGAAGGCTCACCTTCCTCTCACTGAGCACCGCTCCAGAATAAAGTGGGTCTAAAGCACCTGCTGGAATAAGTGGCATTGCCTGTGAGTCTAATAAATAATAGTACCCAATAGGGAGCAATTGTCATTAGGGTCCATTGGAAAGCCTGACTCAACCCAAGTATTTAATTAAAGCCAAACTGATCTTAAAACAACCTTTCCTTAACTTGCACAAGGATCTTTCCCCACAGAGCACTTGGCTCATACAATTACAGAAAATGCTGGTGCTCATGTCCTATAATATCCACTGTTGATAGCAGTGGTTCTCAAACTTTTGGTCTCAGGACCCCTTTACACTCTGAAGAGGACCCCAAAGAGCTCTTGTTTATGGGGGCTATATCTATTAATACTTATCATAATCAACATTAAAACTGGGAAGTTTTTTTTGAGATGGAGCCTTTCTCTGTTGCCCAGGCTGGAGTGCAGTGGTGCAATCTCAGCTCACTGCAACCTCCGCCTCCCGGGTTCAAGCAATTGTCCTGCCTCAGCCTCCCGAGTAGCTGGGACTACAGGCACCCACCACCGCGCCTGGCTAATTTTTTTATTTTTAGTAGAGACGGGGTTTCACCATGTTGGCCAGGCTGGTGTCGAACTCCTGACCTTAGGTGATCCGCCCACCTCGGCCTTCCAAAGTGCTGGGACTACAGTTGTGAGCCACCACGCCTGGACAAAATGTAGAACTTCTAGCCTTCAAAAGACTATGTTAAAATAATGGAGACTGGTTTAGTCTCTCTTCATAACAAAATGTGAATGTTTGAAAATAAGCCTAGGAGAGAAAGATAAGCAAGTCGGGAATGGACAATGAATGATTGTTTTAGGAAATCTCATTTTCACTCCTGAGCTGCTGAGAGAGGCTCTAGAGAGCAGCGATGTTCTCATTTGCAGCTCGGGTTCAGCCCAGATTTCTCTGCGTTTCATGTGGGCTTGATGTCAGTGAACTTTCCGCAAATGCCAGGACCTGCCCGCATGCCCATTGCTTACCGAGATGAGTGTTCAAGCGCCTTTTCTGCAGGGAGCTTGAGGAGCCCCGGGGGCTCAGTGGGCCGTCCACCTGACACGCAGAGTGTGAAATGAGAACAGTAATGCAATTACTCCCACGACACCGAGTGGGAAAATCAGTCTCAGGTGAGCAGAAAGAGTTGACTTTTTAATGTTTGAAAATGCAGTGGGAATGAAAATAAAAGGCAGAATATCAAATAATAGCTATGCTATGGCTACAAACGCATGGAACCCAAGCGTCCTCAGGCTAAAAGTTCCTTTTGGCCCTCGCCTCAATAACTTGGGACCCCTCTATTTCTGGGGAAGTCTTACATGAACTGCTAAGCAGCACTGTTACGTTCTCCCACTTTCATGCTTCGGATGTCCTTTGCAAAGCCACATACCCTAATGGGACCAGAGTGATATTCTCATCAGTTTTTACTGCAGTGAAGTCAAGCTAAGTTCCATGACGAATTAAAAAGTTGACCATTTCTAATCTTCTTGAGGGCTTGTTTCTCATTATATTGTGTGATTTCTCAAGTTAGTCTTCAAAAACACTCCTATAATAAAGCCACTGGTCGATGCTTCCTATAGCTGAACTTCTTGCCTAAGGTTCTTGATAAAATGCAGATTATGACTCTGTAGGTCTGGAGTGGGACCTTCTAGCACGTTCCCAATGGTGCTGATGCTGCTGGTCCATGGACCACACTTTGAGTAGCCAGATCCTGGAATACTTAGGACTAAATACTAGCGTATTTAGTACCTATATTTCTCATACATAACAGATATTTAATAAACGTGTTTTGAAAGGATGCCTCAATTTATTGAAGGTTTCTACAATGGTAGAATAAAGAAGAAAAGCTTTGTCAAGATATCTGCTTTTCATCCTACTCATGTTCTACCTTTTCCTTGGAGTTATGAGAGCATTGCTGGCTGGAAGCACAACTAGCAAAGTGGTATGCAGGAAAGCCAGGCAGAACATCAGTAATTGAGGGCTGTCCATTCTGCCTGGGGTTGTGGCATCCTAGGAGCCTGTTTTCCTAACTTACAGCAGCTTCTATCCCTACCCTCATAATAATTACTGGTAAAGGCCTGGTGCAGTGGCTCCCCCTATAATCCCAGCACTTTGGGAGGCCAAGGCCAGCAGATCACTTGAGGTCAGGATTTCAAGACCAGCCTGGGCAACATAGTGAAACCCAATCTGTACTAAAAATACAAAAATTAGCCAGGCATGGTGGCACACACCTCTAGACCCAGCTACTCGGGAGGCTGATGCAGGAGAATCACTTGAACCCAGGAGGCAGAGATTGCAGTGAGCTGAGATAGCACCATTGCACTCCAACCTGGGCGACAGAGTGAGGCTCTCTCTCAAAAAAAAAAAATTACTGGCAAAAATTGCAGATTTAGTCATTGTTTACTCTTCCTTACTCTCTCTGTTAGAACACATGCACACACATACACACACATACACACACAAGCATAATCCTTTCCATTTAAATTGCTCCTTCTGCTTTTACAATGAAAATTAATTTTGCATGGTTTTGCACTATTGAAAGCAAACTATTAGTGATGCTGCTACCTTTTAACCTAGCCCTGGATCTTCATAGAACAAAACACACATCCTTCAGGCTCCCTCAATTGTTAGAGATAAAATATAATCTCAGTATCATCTGCCTCCCCATACTTGTCTTTTTAAATAAATATCTAATAATCTCTCATTTTTATTTCATTTCTATAATATTATCTTCAATTACAGGCTCCACGTCTCAAATAATCACCCACTCTTGCTGTAAAGTTCTGTTCTCTCCTTGCCGTCAGAAAGGCAGAGTCATCCAGCAAAAACATGACCCTCAGACATGCTGATGTCAGGAGCCCTGTGCTCTGACCATCGCCTGACTACAGAGCCACCCAAGTGATTTAACACATCTGGGCCTCAGTGTCCTCTTCCGAAAAATGAAGAGACCGAACTAGATGATGAGGTCCCTTTCAGGCTAAACATTCTATGATTCTAGAAAAGTTAACAAAAAACAAAAGCATTTAAAATATCAGAAGAGTATCTGTTCAGGTACACGTGATTGCAACTAACATATACAGTCGACTTTTGAACAATGTGGGGGTGAGGGGTGCCTACCCATTGTGCAGTCCAAAATCTTTGTATAACTTTTACCTCCCGAAAACTTACCTACCTACTATTGACCAGAAGTCTTACTAACAATATAAACAATTGATTCACATGTATTTTGCATGTTATGTGCATAATATACTGTATTTTTACAATAAAGCAAGCTAGAGAAAAGAAAATGTTATTAAGAAAATCATAACAAAGAGAAAACATATTTACTATTCATTAAATAGAAATGGATCATCATAAAGGTCTTTATCACACTCATCTCCACATTGAGGAGGTTGATGACTAGAAGAAACGGTAGGGGTTGGTCTTGCCGTCTCGGGGGTGGCAGAGACAGAAAAAAGTCTGAGTGTGAGTGAACCTACGCAGTTCAAATTTGTGTTGTTCAAGGGTCAACTGTGCATAATTTCACTAGTTCTATCTCATTCTAGATTTTGCAGAGTAAACAGGTGAAAATATCTAGCACACAGGTCTAGGAACCAAGTGACTTGCGTCCCTTTCACAGTCCACAATGGACTCCCAGTGTGACTAATATTCAATGAGAGCTGCATGCACACACGTGCACACATGCGCACACACAGACTCAAAACCACCTTAGCACCCACCATGGCGCAGCTCACATTGACCCAATCCTGTTTCCAGCATCGGCTTTTTCAGACTGGTGGCTTGGAAAGGTTGTTTCATTTTGGTTTGGGTTTATTTCATTTAATTTGATGTAGTAATAAAAGCCTAGTTCCAAATAACATTTTGTGCAAAGCCCCAGTATATAAAACCGAGAAAAGTCGACATCCTGATTATAGCATGGACGGCAACATGAAAGTCCACCTCCTCGACACCCCCTCGCTTCCACTCCCACCCAACCCCACTTAGAAAGCTTCAGTATCCTGGTAGATGGTCACTGCGTCACTCTTCACTTTCAGTGACAGGGACAGACACTTTTTTGCACTTTTTTGGTGAGGGAGGAGGAATCTAAAGGTTCAGTCCTAAGAAAATTTTGTTCCTTGGTAATTCTTATTTATTAAACCTATTTCTATCAAGTGGAATGACATTTTTTAAAAAAGCACCACCTCTTTCAAATGAAGCCCTTCCAATATTGGCTAACATTTATCTCCTCTCTCCTCTCTTGTTCAGACAAATCTCTCCAATTTATTTAGCCACTGCAATATATTTTCAGGTCCTTCATCATCTTATTCAGTCTTTTTAAATCAAGCTCCAGTTTATCAGCAATATTTCAAATAGATCACACACACACACACACACACACAGGCATGCAAACCATGCTGTGAATACATACATGCTTAACAGCATGCTAAAATAAATGAGCCTTGTATTTTTCATTATTCTATGATCTAGAGCTTTTCTCTCCCCCTCTTAATGAGGACACCAGAGTTTAAAACTTTTGCAATAGAAAAACTTTACAAAGGAAAGCATCAAGCATCCTATCTCCTGAGGATACATTTGCAAATATCTATTTTGATCTTTGCAGTGTGTTTCTGAGTTCATCTTTTAGATGGAAAACGGAGGCCCTCACGTGTTTCTTCACTTATGGCAGCAGTAGTTCATAATTCTTAGATTTAAAGTTCCTTTCTGTGGGAGGCACAGGCATGAGGCCTGCTCCACTAATGCCCCTCCTTTTAGAGGATGAGGGTTAGCAGAGTCTAGAAAAAGATCCTGCTCCTGGGATAATTTTCCCCTTATTACTTTCAATCTACCGCCCAAATAATCAATATCCTGTTTATGAATTACAGTACCTTTTTATTTACCACACTTATAACCATAAGGAAATTAATTACTCTGCAAATTAAGCAAGTGAGCAACAGAGACTCCTGAGCAAAGGTCTTGCCCTCCCATATCTCCATAATGTGTGCAGAGCGATAATATCAAGACGTCACTTTTCTCTCCACATCTCCTTTTCCATCAGTTGGGCTAGGCTGATGTCAATAAACTCTAGGGAGGGATGGGATAGGGAGATAAACAAGAAGTTTTCCTGGCTTTGGTTTCCAAAGACCCAAACATAGAAGACAGGAAATAAAACCAAGGTTTAGGAAAATCATAAAGAGTCAAAATGAGGGTCTCCTCTACCCAAGAAACAAACAAAAAACATTCATCAGGCTAAACGTGGGTGGTGGCAGGGATTATAACATGGCCATTAAAAAATGACATCATGTCTTTTGCAGCAATATGGAGGCAACTGGAGGGCATTATCCTAAGTGAATTAACAGAGAAATAGAAAACCAAATACTGCATGTCCTCAGGTATAAGTGGGAGCTAAACATTGGGTACACATGCACCCAATAAAGACGAGAAAAATAGACATGGGGGACTCCAAATATGGGGAAAGAAGGGGGGAAAGGTTGAAAAATACCTATCGGGTACCATGTTCACTATTTGGGTGACAGGATTATTAGAAGCCCAAACCTCAGCATCATGCAATATACCCATGTAACAAAACCTATACATCTACCCCCTGGATCTAAATTTTTTAAAAATTGTACTAACAGGGGAAAGAAGCTATAAGATTTTTTTTAAAAAAGTGGGTGGTGGGCAGGAAGGAGAGAGAACAAAAATGGAGAAAAAGGGGATGAGAACAGAAAGGTGAGTGAGGCCCAATGTGGGAGAGGGCACGTCACAGCAGGGAGCCCCACTGCCCGGCCTCAGCTCAAGCAAGCCCTGCATGGCCCTCCATCCTCCCCACACACAGAGCCATCCTTTCCAGTCCTCAGTTCCCGGCTGCCAAAAAAAAAAAAATCCAATTTAACTTACACTTAACAAGTTTAATCTGATCTGAAAAATAAAAATTTCTGAGCACACCTTAGATTCTTAAACATTCTCTTTATCTATGTGTCCATTTTTTAAAAATCAATTCAGAGAAAACAGATTATTGGATAAAAGGGTAAATGAATGTTTTGCAGATTCTTGATGAAATCTTTCCAGAAAACTTTTACGCTACCACCAGCAGTGCCGGCAAAATGTCCCACCTCATGAATACCAAGAAAAGCAAATTAAAACAAATGAGAAAATACTGTCTTAATATTAATATTCAAAGCCACCAAGGGTATGGTGCTCTCATCCACAGTGGCATTATTGCTTAAGTTAGCAGACTTCTTATTTCAGTTGCCAAGAAGAGAGGGAGGGAGTTGACATCTTGTAAGCACCTTTCTCAGCCTAGATCCTGTGCTAGAAAATAACATACATTATCTCACTTGATTCTCACAGCAGCCGGACATGCTGGGTACAATTATCCTCACTTACTGATGAGGAATCTGAAACCCAAAGAACCTAAATAACTGGCAAAGGATCGGATCTTTCACTTTAAAATGCAGCCCAGCCAGGTGGTAACAACAAACCCTCCTGATTTCAAAGCACACAGTGTTTTTCCACAGCAGTTTTGACCCCCGAAAGTGCATTATTCACCTAGAAGAGCACTGCCCGACAGAAACATAATGTGATAATGTTATGTGAAATTTTAATTTTAGTAGCCAGATTTTACAGGTAAAAAAGAAATCAGTGAAATTAATTTGAGTGATACATTTTATTTAACCCAATATATTCAAAGTACTTTCATTTCAATAAATAAGTATATTAAAAATTAAGGAGACATTTTACCTTTTTTTAATCTACGTCTTTGAAATCCAGTGTGGCTTTTCCACTCAAAGCCCATCTCGATTTAAACTGATCCCATTTCAAGTGCCACATGTGGCTAACTGCTATCATACAGGACAGCATAGAGCTAGAGAAAAATTATGAAAAGAAGCTCTCATTATACAGCCCCTTGATTTGGAAGGGGCTGTATAACGATATGATTTGATTTGATTTTGAAGGTTTGGATAATGATATGATTTGGAAAGTTGCAGACTATTTAGCACAATCTTCCAAATCATATTTTTTAAAATTCTAGCATTCTAAGCAAATACCCTAACTTCACCAATCTATTCAGTTCTCACCAGGAGCCAATTTTGCATTTAAGGCATTCGAAAGTTCTTTTCACTTCCACATTCAGTCACTGAGCAGCTGCTGTATGTCAGGCACTACACTGGCCTACAGAGGCATAAGGGGTGAGTGTGGTTTAGGGAGGAATCTTTGCCTTCGAGGAACCCAAAATCTAGCGAGGGAGGCAGACAAATAAATGCCTGTTCTTTCTTAGCAGGATAATTGCTGTAATTTCCTACTGTTTCTACACATACAGGAGGATATCAGTGCATGAAAATAACCATCCCGTCTACCCAAGGATGTATTTAAAATTCACTGTCTCTTTGATGCAAATGAATCTAATAATCTGCATCAAAACTGCCAAAACTATATCATGAGATCACAGCCCAGAAAGTCAGAGATACAACTAAAACCCTTACTTCTTCTTCCAGTCTTTTTGCCAAAGTCCCACTGACATTTCTATTCTTGCCTTCTCCATATTTCTTCTCCCTCCTACCAACAGCCTGCTTTTAACCAGGTAAAGTTGTTCTAGTCTGGCTTTGACTCATGTTTCTCTCAACATGCAGGACTGATTTGTTAGCTCCTAATTAGTACTTCTGCAATAATAGCACAATCATCACGCTGCAGTTTTCCCAGGCCTCTCTGATACATAGATTCTCCAAAACTTCCTGCCCAGGACCTACTAGAAATTATTTTCACTGGACTTTGCATCTACCTTAGAACCAGGAGCAGCACTGAACACAGGCGGGGAAGCTCAGGCCTATCTCATGTCCAGGGGCACTAGTGGCTTAGCAAAAGCCTTATGGAACCCTCTATTGGACTTCTGTGGCTGGTTGACTCATAGAGCAACGCTCCCAGGGGCCTTGGGGAAAGATGTAGCTGCCTCTATCAGGGCCACAGGATACAGAGAATCAAAAGCTTTCTGTCTTTCTCTGGGGGGCAGGTGGGTGTGCCTTTTTGGATAGCCATGCATGGCTTCTAACATGCCACTTTCCCAACCCTGGGCCCAATCGCAATAGTCTATTCACTTGACATAGTGATTCATACCAACAGATGCACGTAAGCATCTACGTTTTCACTACTGATAAAAACTGCACAGCCTGCTCCTAAGCAGAATTTCAGGTTTGTGAGTTCTCCCCAAATTCTCCATGGAGGCAGAAGATGAGTGATTGCGGTGGTCGATTCTTCCAAATTTTCCCAAGCACTCACCTTTACCATTCTTTCCCTGCTAGCCACTGCCTCTGGCACTAAAACTGTTCCTGGAACCTCTGTCCCCATGTCTACAGTGCTCAATCCATCCATCAACCAATTAATCAATAAAGAATAAAAACCAGCATGCGACTATTTGCCGTGATTCTTGCTCGGTTTCCCGTGGCAGGCCTAGGCTTTGGAGCTAGTCACCACCCGTCCTTGCATTTGTCTATTTTACAATAAGCAGCTGGAGGCTAACATTGACCCCCCATGGAATCCCCAGGGACAAGTACGTACAACCAGCAGAATTCGTGTACTTCAGTAGGAACTTAGCAATTCTAGCTCCTTCTCATGATTTGTGGTAGTTATGGTCTATAAAGTCACTGTGAACAGTGAATTAGCAAAGACTGCACCATTTCTCCGAGGGATCAAGTTTCCATGAGCCTCTGGTCACATTTTTGTTAACTGACCACCACATAACTGTGTTTTATGTGACTTTCTGTTTAAAGACACCTTACTTAATGTCTATTGTTGATTCGTTAACATTGAACTCATGGCCACCAGCACATCTCATGCATGAATGAAGCCTGTCAATCACATGTACTTTCTCCATGAGGCACATCTCAGCCTTCTTAGGAACATCAGACACTACTTCAGCACTGTACTTAGGTGCCATTTTAAAAAGCAAAAACACCAACAAAAAGCACAAAAACACAAAAATAAATAAATGAACATGGTGCTAAATATACTGCAAAACCAACACTTGTTTACAGTATGAAAGCCAAAACAGGAAGGCAGAGAGTCGCCTTGTCCAACCTTAGCTGAGAATGTGCACATCAGGTGACTCAAATTTTATACCACTCTGTACATTTGCATATCTGTGAATCACCACAAAAGTGCCAGGAGTATTAATCTTGGAATTACAAACAAATTGTAGCGAATAAGTAAATTGCAAATACAGAGTCTGCGATGATATATAATGAATGAATGAATGAACGAATGAATGAATGAATGAACAAATGAAGGAATGAAGACAGGAAACCAGAAGCTATGACTGAAAGCTTTCCTTTCGTAACACCAAGTTTCCTTTCCCTTTTCCCCTCTTTTGTGGTATGATAGAAAGAGCATGAGAGAAATAAGAACTTTGAATTTGGGCAAGATGACAGACTGTGATAATCTAAAACTTTTCACTATGAACACATTACACATTCTGGATAAAAATACATCAGTTTATAGTATTTCTGAGCTTGCAAGAGGAAATGAGTAAGAGACTATCTCCTGGTACAAGGACATGAAAGAACTAAAAATTAAAGTTACAAATATATAAACTGAGGCCATATTTGCCCTGGGGGAAGATTACTCAGGGACATTGGTTTTAACATCTACAGGGGGCCAGGAAAGGGGGTGCTGGGCCGATACAAGGTTACATATTAGAACTGAGATGCCTGCTAAAAGTACTCTAGAGAAGCACAACCTTAATAAGATGATGGACTAAAAAAAATAAAAACAAATTTTAAAAAATCACCAGTGGCATAGAAAAATTTGCCCCTGCCTAGTTTCTAGGAGGAAAAAAAAAAGTCTTCACCAAAGAAATTGAAACATTAGTTGTGCCCCTCAGGCTTAAGGTTTGATTTTAAACACCATCACTGTGGTCCAAGAACTTCCAAACTGAGAAACTAACATGAAAATTGGCCCAAAGCATCCTGTTTCCCCAGGGAAACTAGAGGGAACAAACACAATGTATTTCTACAAGGAAAGCTTACTAGAGCTCTTAAAATGAGCCAATAATCCAAATTAATCAATATGCAAAGAAACAGCTCAACATGAATGAGAGTCAGCTCACACACACACACACAAATTGAAGGATTGGAACTCTAAGAAATTTGGATAAGAGAAATTTGTTAGCTCTTAATTAGCACTCCTGCAATAATAGCATAATCACCATACTGCAATTTTCCCACTCCTTTCTGATATACAGGTTCTCCAAATCTTTCTCCCTAAGACCTATTAGAAATTATTTTCCCTGGACTTTGCATCCACCTTAGAACAAATACACATTTTTTAATTATTGAAGTGGCATAAAAGAGGAGATCGAAATCACAAGAAAAGAGACACATTTTTAAATAGGCAGATTTTAAAAATAATTTTTAAAATAAATAACACTTCTTGAAATAAAAGATAAAGTAACTGAAATGTAAAAAGAAAGATAATGCATTAGAAGAGGTTAAAGAAAGAACCAGTGAACTGGAAATTAGATGTAACATAATTATGTTACAGATATAACACAAAGAACCAAAATAAATAAGAAACATGGAAGGGAATTTAAGACATTTAGGGAGAAAATGAGAAGTCCTCTGTATCAGTCGGGGTCCACCTTTTAGCTTGGGCAGCAGCGGGACCCACATCTCTCCCTTCAACTTTTCCAGTCACACAGATTTCTTTTAGGAGTTCTGGCCAACCCCTAACCAGAAGCATACAGGGAAGGTAATTCTGGGAAGCAGAATTCAGCTTAGCCCCATTAGCACATTATAAAGCAACCACAACTTTGTGTTTATGTCAAGTAGGAACACCAAAGGAAATAACAGAGAATGGGAGAGAGGCAATACCAAAGAGATAAAAACTAGTAAATTTCCAGAATCATTAAATTAATAAATCCTTGAATCTGAGAAACAAAATAAATACCAAGCAGGAAATATAAAAATATTTTCATGAAAATGCAGAACACCAAAGGCAAAAAGAAGATGATATCAAAAGCATCCAGCAATAAAAGATGAATTATCTAAACGAGGATAACATTTAGACCTACAGAAGACCTCTATAGCAACAATTCAACCAGAAGACAAGGCAGTGGAATAATATCTTGCCCGAATACAGTGTAATAATATCTTGCCCCTGTTGGGAGAAAATGTCTGCTAATCTAGAAGTGCATTGCCTGATAAACTATAGGAAAAAAATAAAGACTTTTTAGACAAATGAGATTGTGAAAGTTTATGATTCAGGAGCCTCACTGAATAATAAAGGAAGTTCTTCAGGTAGACAGAAATTGAAGCCAGAGGGAAGGAGTAGGATTCAAAGAACAGTGGCAAGCAAAGAAATTGATCAACGTTTGGGTAAATCTAAACAAGTATTGAGTGTATAAAATCATATCAGTGACTAACTTGGTTGATACAACTAAGGTGAACAGTTAAGATGGACCTGAAACATTAGACAACAATAGCATATAAGAAGAAAATTAATTTTCATAATTGGTCTGAGATCCTTTTTATTGTTCAAGATGAGGATAGCTATACTGATTAAACTTCCTTACATCAAATACATACCCAAAAATTTGCAAATAACCATTAAAAGACAGAAAATAAAACATAATATCATAGGGGGACGTTCCACTTTCCATATAGAGGAATGAGGACCTAACAAACCAATCCTTACACAAATAGCATCTATAAACACTGGACAGATAGAAGAATAAAATAAAAATGAAACAGCTCCTAGAGAGATTTTGTGACTGAACAAAGACAGACAGATTTTGGAGAGCAGTCAAAATTTGGAGCAAGTGACTTAAGTGACTGCCAAGGAGTGAGTTCCCCATATTTTATTGGCTTGGCCCCGAGGGTGGCTACACTTGGGGCCATGATGGAGGCAGTAGTGCAAAGCAGCTAAAACCCCACTGTATTGGACCTTGAATCAGTAAGCGCAAATACAGCTTTTGATCTGTAATGCTTTTATACAAAAGTTTATTTTAATAGTAAAATGTTTGTTCTAAAAAAAAAAAAAAAAAAACCCCACCGGTAGCCCATTGTCTCTCCGGCCTGAGGAGCCAGGGAAAAACAGGATCGAAAAACAGGATTCCTGCGGAGTAAAGGGAAAATTCCAGAGAGAAGAGACCCAGAGAAGTAGAAGCCTAGATTCTGTGTACAAAATTAGCCCAAACCTCTGGCGGACACCTGAAATATATCCATGTGAGATAAATTAAAAGCAGAGCCACGACGGTTTGCAGTTTGGCGGTGAAATTCTGCTAGAACAGAATCATCAACACTCTTAAGACCAATAGAACAGAGGCAGAATCTCTAACCACCTAACATTTAAAATGCCCAGGAGAGAATCCAAAATTTTTCAGGGTATGGAAAGCCAAGAAAATGTGACCCAGATTTAAGGGAAAATACATTCAACAGATGCCAAATCCAAGAGGACCCAGCTGTTGGAACTATCAGACAAACGGCAATGTTAACTATGCTCAGTGGGGTAAAGTACATGTTCTTAATGAGGGAAATGATATAAAATATTAGCAAATAAATAGAAAATATTTTTTAAAATAAAATTTTAGAATTGAAAAATATTACATCTGAAATAAAAATAATCAGGCTTAATATAATGGCAAACGGAGATCACAGAAAAGATTCAGTGAACCTGAAAGTAGAACAATAGAAATAATCCAATCAGAAGAAGAAGGGAAAAAAGAGACAGATAAAAATTAACAGAGCCTCGGAGGCTAGTGGGACAATTTCAGAACAGCCAACATGTTGATAACTGGAGTCCCAGAAAAAGAGGAGATACAAATTGGGGCAGAAAAACATTTGAATAAAAAATGGTAGTTAACCTCCCAAATTTGGTGAACGAGGACATTCACAAGTTTAAAAACCTTAGCAGACTCTAGACATAATAAATTTGTCCATACCAAGGCCCATTATATCCAAACTGCTGAAAGTCAAAGAGAAAGAGAAAATTTTGAAGCAACCAGAGAAAAATGATATATTAGATGCAGGGAAAAAATTGAATGACTATATACTCATCAGAAATGGAATGGAGGAGATGAGGAAACAATGTATTTATAATGCCAAAAGAAAAGAGAAAGCTCTGCTAATCCAGAATTCCATACCCAGAAAACTTATTCTCCAATGGTAAAAAGGAAGTAAAGACATTGTCAGATAAAAGAAAACTAAGATAATGTATCGTCACCAGATTTACAAAGGGAAAAGTGAAAAAAATTTTTCCCTCTACTCTCCTGGCTTCTCTCCACCCTCCTAGCTGGGGCCCTGTAAATTAGATTGACAGAAGACAGACTAACAAGAGAAAAACAAACACAAGTTTGTTGGCCGGTGCATCCTGCACGCCCGCAGGATAACTCAGGGATGAGGAACTCTGAGGGTGGTTAGAACTTGGGATTCTAGAGCATCTTAGCAACAGAGCAATAAATGTTTAGAGAAGTGACAAGACAAGATAAAATACTTTGAGTTTTTAGGGGAGGCAAATTGCAGGAAGGTAAATATACGAGGAAACTAATGAAAGATAAGGGCTAGTGAGTAAGGTTTGTTAGGTAGATTTCTCTGGCTCCTCCCGGCTAATAAAACTCTAGGTTGTCTCAGGGGATTAGGTCTGTTCTTCCTGGTAGAGAGAAGGGCAGACACCTTTACAAATGCATGTCCTGCCTTGGCAAATATGGGAAGGGTAAGAGCTTTTCTATCAATAGTATCTGCTTTTCCTAAACTGTCGTCAGCTCAAAATAATCCTTATGCCATATGGTATATTTTGGAGTCACATAGTTGGCTACCCTTCATCACAGAAAAACATTTAAAAATATTTGAACTGAATGACAATGAAAATACAACCCATTAAAACTTGTGGCATGTGGCTAAACCAATGCTTAGAAGAAAAGTTATATATTAAATAGCTTTAGATGGTTAGATTGTAAAATACAGGGAAAATGAAAATGAAGACTTCATCAATACAGCAGATGGCAGAAAAGAAAAAACAATAATAAATGGAAGAAAAGGGGGATAAAACTGTGCAAATAGAAATCACAATGTAAGATGGATGGTAGAAAATAATTCAATACATCAGGAGTCAAGTATCTTTACATTAGTTTATTAAAGTCCTTGGTTAAAACACAAAGATTGTTAGATTTAATTTTTAAAATTTAAATATATACCATTTACAAAGTAATTCTGAAACAGAAAAGACTGGAAAAATACAGCAAGCAAAAGTTATCCAACGGAAAGCTGGGATAGCTATTTTGATATCAGGCAAAGCAAACTTTATGAGAAGTATTATTTAGGATGAAGAGGTTAACAGCAAGATGATAACATGAAGAATTTATATATGCCAAACACTCCAAATATATAAAACAGAAATAGACAGACTTACAAGACAAAAATTGACAATCCACAAACACAACAGGAGGTAAACACACACCCTGCTAAAAGTGAGAAATCACGAACAAAAAATCAGTCAGAGAAAATAAGGGAGAACTGAAGAAGAAAGATGATGCTAATATTCTGTGTTCACATACAACTTTATCAAGTTATTGCAATACTATCTTGACATCAACCTTGCTAAAAACAAACAGGGAAGGCACAGCAATCTACATTTTAAAATACAGGAGACAGAGGACTAGGGAATGTGGGTGTCTGTGAGAATCAAACAGCCATGCTAGCAACCCAGGCAGAAATGAAAACGGACCTTCCCGGCTCCTCAGTAAAACTTCTCTCCTATAAGTCAAGCTCTCTCACACTTTGCTAATTCTCTCGTCTATCTTTATTTTACCGCCATGCTCAGATGTTGAGGAAATAATTATGTTATTAAGTGTAAGTGCTTTGAGCACTTTGGAGAAATGAGCTTTATAAATATGAGCCATTTCTATTCACCTGAGAAGCTGATCAGCTTTTTCTTCTCACCCTGGCCCTCTTTGTACCCTCTACAGGACATTTACATCCCTGAACAACATGCTCATGCTGAGTCCACGGAAGATACCAATGACTCACAAAGGCCAGAGAGAAGTGCAAGTGTAGAAACACGCCACATTCACACATCAGCCATGGGGAGGGAGGGAAATCGTTGTTTGCTAGAAATGACACTCCAGAGGTTTTGCTACTCATCATCTTCTTGCTGCCCAAGCCTCTGTTCAGTCCCCCACCAGATGCGTCATTCAAGTTGTAAAGCAAATGTACTATTTCTTGACATTTCTAGAAAACTACACCCTGGACTGCACCCTTACAGCTGCTCATGTCCATGAAACATTCTGTGTGGAACTCCATCCAGGCTAGCAGAAGTCACTGGACAATGCCAAAGCCCACCCAGGATGGACCAGTGGGAGCCGATGAGCCTGCTCTGTGTGACGAAGGGACGGCAGGCTCCAAGAACAGCCACCAACACCAAGACCCTTCAGTCCCAGCGAGGTGGCCTCAGGGTAGGAGGATTTCTAGGAAGTTCAGAGGAAACAAGGTAAGAAAAGAAGCCAGGGTTCATCGTCTCTCTTTCTAAACCCCATACTGTAGGGAAGTGGTCCTCATGCCCCCAGAGGACATGTCTGGAAACATTTTTGATGGTCACAGACAAAGAGGGGAGTGCTACTGGCATCTAATGGGTAGATGCCCAGGATGCTGCTAAATTCCTCCAGAGCTCAGGGCAGACCCCAAGGCCAACAAGGAATTACCTCACCCAAAATGTCAACAGTGCTGAGGATGGGAAACCCTGCCCTGGGAGACCAACGTTGCCAGATCCCTGGCATCTCAGAGCCCATAAGGCAGACAGGAGAGTTAAACTCAGGTGGAAATCTACCCCTCAACCTGCATAAATTCCATTACTGCATCATTATCTGAAATGGAAAGCAGAACAAAAACCTCACAAAAACTAGAACAAATGAATGAATGAAGGAACTAATGAAGGAATGAACTAATGAATGAATGAATGAATGAACTAATGAATGAATGAATGAAGTAATGAATTTGAATTGAAACACAGATTCAGTTTCATGTTGCCTCCAATCTCAAGAGGATCCTAGCCCAGGCAGCTCTGAAAGAAGGAAGAGAGGGAGGTCCAATTTCCTATCTCCATAAAGAGACTTAAAATGGGGAGTACAGAGTCTTGAAGTCCTTCCCCACAACAGCTTTCCATTTGTTCCTCCAAATGCTCATGGGCTTTAAAGAGTTTTGGTAATTTCAGAAGACCTCTTACCTCTTCACCTGCAGGAATTCACGAGAGTGGAGCAGCCGTCTGGGAGGAGGGCTAGGGACAGCCAGCCGGTCTTGCAGGGCCCCTTGTCATCAGCTCAGCCCAGTGAAAGGAGCACTGAGCCCAGCGTCAGGCCTGGTTCTCACCTGACTCTGTCACCCTGGGCCTGTGGGGTCCCAGCAGGTCACTTTTTACAGCCTCAGCTTCCTCATCTGTGAATAAGGGGTCAACAGACCGTAGTCTCCCACATCTCCCCATTACATATGGAATAAACTCCCAACTCCGCAGGCCTTTGGAGCACCTTAGTGCAGAGCAGCCTCTGCACCCACCAACACCTCCCTCCCATCGTCCTCCTTCTCTCCCGTTCCTCTCAGCCCTGGCTCAGTCCATGCTGATCCATCCTTTCTGTCTGAAACCCCTCCTGCTCTCCTCTCCTGTCTTGAGTAGACAGGACTGCTCTCTTCTGTAGCATTTTTTACCTACCTTTCTTTCTTTCTTTCTTTTGAGATGGAGTCTCACTCTGTTGCCCAGGCTGGAGTGCAATGGCGCCATCTCAGCTCACTGCAACCCCCACCTCCCAGGTTCAAGTGATTCTCTTGCCTTGGCCTCCTGAGTAGTTGGAATTACAGGCACTCGCCACCATGCCCGGCTAATTTTTTTTGTATTCTTAGTAGAGCCGGGGTTTCACCATGTTGGCCAGGCTAGTCTTGAACTCCTGACCTCGTGATCTGCCCGCCTCGGCCTCCCACAGTGCTGGGATTACTGGCATAAGCCACCGCACCCAGCCTTCCCTACCTTTCTAAACCATGAGGCCCTGTATGGTTAGGGGCCACAACTTACTTATCTCTGAACTCGTGGGTGTCTTGGCAATACCTGGTACACAGTAAGTCCTCAATAAATATAGGATGCATAAACGAGTAAAATCCAAGCCATTTCCCACTAAAACCTCCAGACCTCTGGTGTATGATGACCTGCTGTCATAGCCCAAAGGAATGGTTGAGTTTCAGGTATCCAGAGAAAAATGCAGGTGTAGAGCTTTCCCCTCAAACGTATTAACAAATAGATGGTGCTCAGTCATTTTCGCGGCAGGCTGCAGAGAAATCTTAAACTTTCGTGTTGTTTCACTGAGGGTACGGCAGAAGAGCCCAAGGAATGTGAAAGGAGAAACTTGCATAATTAGACTTTATGTGGGGAGTAGGCACCGAGTGTGTGACAAGCACAAGGGGCTACGTGTGCGGCCAGATGACGCTGCACGGTCAGAACCCACAAAACAACACGGCAACAGGTGGATTTTAAACCCCTTCTCTGCTTTCAAAGCAGGTCCAGGCTCTACATTTACAGAAGGAGAGTTAGGGCAAGGGGAATGTGGGGGAAACTGAAATTAGTTAGAACTAAGATCAGCAATAAAATTCTTCAAAGACACTGCTTCTCACTTTACCAGGATTTTTGTTTTGTTTTGTTTTGAGTTTTTATTTCTTCTTTTTCTTTTTTGTTCTTTGCTTTTATCAATGAAGCAAGTTGCTAGGATGCAAAAGGAGTTGGGGGGTAGAAGGGCGGGGTGGGAAGCAGAGGTGGGAGGGGTCGAGGTTGGAGCACCTGTCGTCTGCATGACGTGGACGGCTGGTTCTGGTTGTATTTTAAATGAAATCTCATCCCAGCGTAGACACCACGTCTGGAATTACGATCCACCCTGTGATCTGTCACTTTTATATACACACAGGGGAGGGGACCGTTTCCATAGAGAGGGAATATCACAGCCCACTTAGGAACAATACCGGAGAAGCAGGAGCCGAGACCCCGGAGCAGCCACAAGTTCATGGGGACGTGCACGGGGCCGCCCTCCTGGCCCTGAAGCTGCGCCGGCCTCCCTGAGCGTTTCGCTGCGGAGGGAAGTCCACTCTCGGGTAAGCTTGTGGCTGGGACTGACTTATGAAGGGTAAATGTATCTGCCCTAATTTAAGCAGGAGGTGCCATGCACTAGACAGGTGTGAGAGATGAGAGCTGCTAGCGCCCCTGGGTGGAAGCCCAAGGGAGCGATGCTGAACGCCCCCCACCCAATCAGCAGAAATCAGCCCCAAAGGGACCAGGGGAAGTTTCTCAGGGAGGCACAATCACATTCCCACGTTGGTATAGAGAGACCCTCTTTCCAAAGGTGTTAGATCAGAGGCAGAAGGTGTTCACACAAATCTGTTTTCTCTGAACAGAGCACAGCTGTGCACAGGAAAGTCAGTCCTCGGAGACAGTTTACAAATGGGGATGGGGTAGGGATGCCGGGGCTAATGGGAGCCACAGGACATGACTCCACGCCGCCTGCAAAGCAGCGAGGACACCTGCACTTACTGTTTACCTGTGCCACAAACCTTCACCTGTGCCATCTCCCGTCACTCTCGGGCACACCTGTGAAGCAGGTAACGTCTCCTTCCTAGGACGCGGCAAGTGAAATGCAGGTTAAGGGATTCACCCAAGAAAAGTCAGAGGCAAGGGAGTTTCCCCAGCCAGGTCCTCTGCCACCAAAGCCCAGAGCCCTTTGCCACACTAGGAACATTGCGGGGGTGTGTGCAGATACCTACAATGGCTAACTCCTACCTGTGAAGGGGAGATGGATGTTTGATGTTTATGTTTTCTGAAAATTCCTGTTCGCAATTTCTTTCCCAAGCATAGCCACCTACCAAAAATAACAAATGTGAGATTTTTAAAACGTTTTAAGTGGTCTAGTTTCAGTTTAACTTCTTATCAGTGTTTGCAGACAAACGGAGCCCACAGGAATAGCTCTGCACTTGGCAGAGATGTGTGATCAGTACTGTTTGCCTCCTGCCTTTGCTGCTTCATGTCCTGTCCTCTCCCTGTGAGGTGCTGGGAATTGGAGGCTGACCCAGGTCCCTCACGTTTCAGTGCTTGGCTCTGCCACAGCTCCCAGAAGTAACTGTGTCTCTTTACAGCATCCTCGACAAGTGCTACTGTCACCATAGCCCAAAGGAATGGTTGAGTTTCAGGCACCCAGAGAAAAATACAGGTGTAGAGCTTTGCCCCTCAAATGTATTAATAACTAGATGGTGCCCAGTTATTTTCGTGGCAGACTGCAGAGAAATCTTAAACTTTTGTGCTGTTTCACCAAGAATATGGCAGAAGAGTCCAAGGAATGTAAAAGGAGAAACTTGCAAAATTAGACTTTATGTGGGAAGTACAGAGTATCTTTTCTTCTTTGGGGAGAGTTCCTTTTCTTTTATCCTATAAACCCTAAACAAATCTAAACAGATCCTAAAAAGAAAAGTCCTGGAAAGAAATCTGAATCTACCTTCCAGCCCCCAGCCACTCACACACTTTGATGGTGAAACCATCCAGGGTTGCAAAGAACCCTTACATTTTAAACGATCTAAAACTAAGCTCAGCACCGGGCGTCCCTATCATGTCCAATTCACAGTTCTGGGAGGTTCCTTTGCTGTGTAACTTTGCATCATTGCTGATGGTAAGGGGACACCTTTCAATACCCTCACAACCGTGTGCAGGCTAGAGCTGAGGGTTTGCAGAGAGAGAAAGGTCTGCTACCTGCAGATGCACCAAGAACAGAGCGCCACGCAGGACACTTGCTCCCTGACACTTTCACAGATTTTTCCACACCTTCAGCACCCTAGCCGTGATTACAGTATTCTTCTCTGATGGTAGACTTGGGATTTGAAAAATAAGAAGGTAATGCATTTTTTAAAAGGCACAGTATTTACAAATTGACCCCAAAAATGTGAAAAAGTAAATATAGAGGTAAAAGGGATCTCACTCCCTCTCCCCAATGCCTTGCTTTTGTAACTGAGATGAGACAGGTAGCACTTCCAGGGAACACATCCAGAGGCTAGCCCATTGCAAGGGAAAACCTGAACTTTTTCACAGGAAAATTGCAGAAAGTTACTTAGACGAGGCTGTTTCATGTTCAGAAGCCCTCATCTTTCAAGTGACTCTAGGTACACATGTATGATTTCATAATTAAAAAACAAAACCAAAAAAGTATGCCATATAAAAGATTTTTTCCTCTGTGATACGTAACAACATGATTTGCAGAGAGAATGTACATCCATGAAAGAATTTAAAAGAGGTTGTTTTGCTTTGGAAAATAAATTGATTTAATTAAGTGCCTGAATACTAATCTGAATTTCAATTCATTCAACAAATATTGATTGAGAATATGATTTAGTATAAGGCACTATTGGCCATGTCAGGCTTTTCCAAGCATCCTGAGTCACTGCTGAGAGCCAAATGACCCAGAGGGATAGTGAAAGGCTTGGCATATTTAGCAGAAATGGAGACACCAAAGAAATATAACACCCAAAGTGTCTTTAAGGGGTGGAGATAGACAGGTAAACTCAAGTGTTGATTTACACTAAAGGGCCAGTCCGTGTGAGCAGAGCCCCAAGATGGGCTTGAACTCAGAAAGTAGTCTGAGTTCTCAGTAATATTTGCAATTATTCTGCAAAGTTCTAAGTGCTTGAGGGTAAATGCAGAATGCTGCCCCGGGAAGGAAATAGAAAGGAGCAGGGAGGGGTTCCCTGGGCTGGGGTGCAGGGTTTGAGTGAGGAAGCAAAATAAACAAATGGGGTGGTGGGGCAGTGGGGAGAGAGCCATGTGGAACCCACAGAGGGAGGCCTGAGGGTAGCTCCAGGGTTGCATCTCAGCACCCTCTAATTTTTTTAATTTATTTATTTTTTTGAGACAGAGTCTCACTCTTTCACCCAGGATGGAGTGCAGTAGCATGATCTTGGCTCACTGCAACCTCCACCTCCCAGGCTCAAGCAATTCTCCTGCCTCAGCCTTCTGGGTAGCTGGGATTACAGGCGTGTGCCACCACGCCTGGCTAATTTTTGTATTTTTAGTAGAGACAGGGTTTCACTATGTTGGCCAGGCTGGTCTCAAACTCCTGACCTCAGGTGATCCACCTGCCTCGGCCCCCCAAAGTGCTGGGATTACAGGTGTGAGCCACCCAGTCCGGCCAGCACCCTCTATTTTAGCTTACACCCACCCAGAGTCCAGGCGCCTTTCATTTGGTGAAAATCAAGAACTCATTTCATTCTCCCAGTGCTTTTCGTAGAGGGACCTCTGGCTTTCAGAAGTAGAAAAAGAAAGAAATCAGAACAAAGATTCTCGAACTCAATCCCCTGCTCTCACAGAGGAAAATAGTGAGGTCCTGGGCGGTTAGGCATGAGCTAGTGAGTGGGAGGGACAGGACTGAGTCTGGTAGTGAAAGGAAAAAAGGGATGAAGGAAGAAAGGGACAGAGAGACAAAGTTTCTCCACCACTTTCCCCCCAGTATTAACCTTTCCAAATTGGTTTTTGTTTTTTTAAACCCTTTCAGGGTTAGCAAGCCATTCGAAATAATTTCCAAGCTTTAAGATGCCTTCAAGGTATAAGGCAGCTAAAACCATGCTTCATACTCTATTTATGAAAAACAACTCATTAGGTCCTCTGTAAATGAGAAAGCTGAAGGTCTGCCTATTGAATGCAACATTTAAGGAAAGAAAAGCCCATTTTCCACAGGGACGGTTAGTGCACCCCTGGAACTCCGGGGTACAGCTCTAAGGAGTCCAGAGTCGGGTCAGAGCACGCAGAGCAGCGGTTCTCAGAGTGTGGCCCTCAGACCTCAGCATCAGCATCACGTGGGACTGTGCTAGAAATGCATGTTCTCAGGAGCATCCAGACCCAGTGACTCAGAAACTCTTGGGACGGGGCCCCGCAGGCTGTGTTTGAACCGCGCCTTCACATGAGTCCAAAGCACCTGAAAGTTGAGAACCGCTTACTTAGACTAAGGGCAAAAGGAGTCTGCACAGGTCAGGGTGGAGAGGGTAGCATGGAGCCAAAAGCTACAAGCCAGAGATACGATACAACAAGGACATTGCTCTGCAGGATCAAATGCTTGCTCAGATTTCCTGGTCTCTCTGTACATATGTGTATTGTGTATACACAACTGTGTGTGTAAAATGCACTTCTGAAAAGGTTGTGTGCAGACCAGATCTTCTCCTAAGAAGACCTGGAGATTATTCAGGTGTGGGTCAGCCTTGATTGAGCATCTGCTCAGACAAGGAGCTTTCATACACACATTGACGTTTCTCATCGAATCCTTCACTTAACCTTCATGAGGTGGTTATTGCCATCCCATTTATCAGAGAAGGAAATTGAAATTCACAGAGGTTATCGGCCCAAACCCTCAGGCAAATAAGGAAATAAGGACGAAGAAGGAATTCGAGCCTGTGTCTAACTCCAAAGCCTGTGTTGTTCTCACTTCGCCAGGCAACATGCCCAGATCTGGCTAGTTCATAGGTTTGGACTATTTAAAGCGAGGATCATGTGTTTTCTCATAAATTATGAAAAATATTAGTGCATAAAATAAGCTCTCAAAATTTTTGTAATGCAAAATAAATGGAACAAACAAAGCAAAACCTGATTTCTTAGACAAAAAAATTAAAGGAAAGAAAGGCAACAGCTGCAATGTGGAGAACCAAGGGAAGGAACAGGCTTTGACAGGAAATGTGCTGGGTAAACATTTATCCACGTGGGTGTGTGTGTATATGTGTGTGTATATGTGTGTGTGTATATGTGTGTGTGTATATGTGTGTGTATGTGTGTGTGTGTATGTGTGTGTATATGTGTGTGTATATGCGTGTGTATATGCGTGTGTATATGTGTGTATGTGTGTGTGTATGTGTGTGTATATGTGTGTGTATATGCGTGTGTATATGCGTGTGTATGTGTGTGTATATGTGTGTATATGCGTGTGTATATGCGTGTGTATATGCGTGTGTATATGTGTGTGTATGTGTGTGTATGTGTGTGTATGCGTGTGTATATGTGTGTGTATATGTGTGTGTATATGCGTGTGTATATGCGTGTGTATATGCGTGTGTATGTGTGTGTATGTGCGTGTGTGTATGCGTGTGTGTATGCGTGTGTATATGCGTGTGTATATGCGTGTGTATATGCGTGTGTGTATGCGTGTGTATATGCGTGTATGTGTGTGTATATGCGTGTGTATATGCGTGTGTATATGTGTGTGTATATGCGTGTGTATATGCGTGTATATGCGTGTGTATATGTGTGTGTATATGTGTGTGTGTATATGCGTGTGTATATGCGTGTGTATGTGTGTGTGTATATGTGTGTATATGCGTGTGTATATGTGTGTATGTGTGTGTATATGCGTGTGTATATGTGTGTGTATGTGTGTGTGTATATGCGTGTATATGTGTGTATATGTGTGTGTATATGCGTGTATATGTGTGTATATGTGTGTGTGTATGCGTGTGTATATGCGTGTATATGCGTGTGTATGTGTGTGTATATGTGTGTGTATGTGTGTGTATGTGTGTGTATGTGTGTGTGTATGTGTGTATATGTGTGTGTATATGATGTGTGTGTATATGCGTGTGTATATGTGTGTGTATATGATGTGTGTGTATATGCGTGTGTATATGCGTGTGTGTGTGTATGCGTGTGTATATGTGTGTGTGCGTGTGTGTGCGCGCGTGTGTGTGCGCGTGTGTGTGCGCGTGTGTGTGCGTGTGTATGTGTGTGTATATGCGTGTGTATATGCGTGTGTATATGCGTGTGTATATGCGTGTGTATATGTGTGTTCATGTGTATGTGTGTAAGGTGTGTGTGTGTGTATGTATGTACATGTGAGGTATGTATGTGTGTGCATATGTGTGCATATATATACGTGTGTGCATGTGTCTATATGTATGTGTGTGTATGTATGTACGTGTGAGGTGTGTATGTGTGTGCATGTGTATGGTTGTGTGTATGCATGTACATGTGAGGTATGTATGTGTGTGCATATGTGTGCATGTATATGTGTGTGCATGTGTATGTATGTGCATATGTGTACGTGTGAGGTGTGTATGTGTGCATATGTGTGCATGTATAAATATGCATGTCTATATGTATGTGTGAGGTGTGTGTGCGTGTATGTGCATGTATATATGTGTGTGCATGTGTCTATATGTATGTGTATGTACGTGTAAGGTGTGTATATGCACATGTGTGCATGTATATATGTGTGTATCTGTATGTGGGTGCATGTGTATGTGTATGTGTACCTGTTTGTATGTGTGCTTGTCTATGTTCCTGTGCGTCCTGTGTGTGTGTCTGTTTCCAGGGTAAGTGAAGCAGCGGGGACTTACAGGATCCTCCTTTAGAAAGAGACCCAGGCTCCCTTTGCTAAGGGTCAGCGCTGGTTCTGTCCATCGCTCACAGCCTAAGGCTGTCTGGTTGGGCTTGGGTTGGGTCCACTGCACTCATGTGTGGGAAATGGCCTCGTCAAGGCCACACTGATGAGGAGCTGCAGAGCAGAGACTGGAGCTTGAGCACCGACTGCCAGCCCTGCCTGGCCCTGCTCTGCACTGTCACCGCAAGGAACAAAATGACCCAATGCCAGCCTCACGCTGCTGAAGGCCCAGGCGAATCACCAGGTGATTTACTTACCCAATTGTTCTTATTTATTTTGAAAAACTAACGTAAGAAAAGGATTCTCCCAAGTTGATAGTGAACCACATGTTTCTTGCTTGCTTTTGTGAAAGCCAAGTATGTCTTCGGTAATAAAGTGAACTTCGAGTTCAGGAAAAGCCCTCAAATGTAAATAGCAGAGCCTTTCACTGCTTCTATCTCACAGGATAGCCCAGGGGATGGTTCATCCTCACACCGCAATGAGAGAACAGGCATGTCGGGGTGTGAGCGGGGCCCGCAGACGGCAGCCGTGCTTTCTCTAGGTGTTTAGATAACACTCCGGACATGTGCCCCTCACTGTTTCATCCTTGTGCATGATGAAGGACAACAATGAATAAATAAACGTGATGTCCTTATTACAGGGCTGGGGAGAGTGTGTGCCCGCAGACCAGGCAAAAAGGACTGACTGCAGAATGGTGGGTTTGATCTCAGGGCACAGGAAGTCAACTCTGCCCACTTCACAATATCCTCAGGGACAGTGGCCATGGGCAACCTGAACTCTGACGGCCTCTGGCACAGCTGATGCTGCTACTGTGAAGGAGCCCGGCGGGAGGGTGCAGGTGGCTCAGCACAAGCCCTTCTCCCCTGATGGGGATGGCAGTTTGATGTCTTGTTTGACACTGTTGATCAGTGAACCAGCAAGAGTCTATGACGCTTAAAGCCTGAACAGTCCAAGGAACATGAGGGTCATCGAGTCGGACGTTTGTATTGCCACAACAGTCCATATGCTAATGCTTAGGGTTTTTTTCTTTTCTTTTTTTGAAACTAGGTTTTGCTCTGTTGCCCAGGATGGAGGCAGTGGCACAATCACAGTTCACTGTAGCCTCGACCTCTGGAGCTCGAGCAATCCTCCTGCCTCAGCCTCCTGAGTACCTGGGAATGCAGGTGCACACCACCACGCCCAGCTAATTTTTTTTTTTTTTTTTTTGTAGAGATGAGGTCTTACTATGTTGCCCAAACTGCTCTTGAACTCCTGGGTTCAAACAATCCTCCCACCTCGGCATCCCACAGTGCTGGGATTACAGGTGTGAGCCACCGTGCCTGGCCAGTTTTTATTTTTCTTTTTTTAAATAAAAGAATGGATTCAATGGGTCCCTAGAGACTAGCATCCTTTCCGAGCTCTCAGTGTTTCCTTCTTGCCCTGGACAATCACCCTGACTCAGTCTGACTGATAACCAGGATCCCACACATCTTAGAGATCATAGACAGTGTTGGCATTGAGGTCCTGCGGTTGGAGGACGTTGGTGCTCCCTGGATGATACTTGGTCTGACAAAAAGACCAAGCTGACTTTGGCTTCATAAATCATAAAGTCTACAGTAAAACCAACCTAGTTATTAATAACAAATCTGATTGTTCTCAAGAAACTAGGATAGCCTAGCGAGAAACCAGCCTTAAAGATCTGACTTAGAAACATTGACTAGACGCCCAGCCATGGTCTTTAAGCAACAGGGATATATTCAGTCAGCCTTGCCAATGATGAAGGAACATAAAATTCACTTACCATTAAAATCAACTATGGTAGGCTGCTAGGTGCTTACTTAGTATATTAGTTATTCGCTTTACAGGGGCAGAGGCTGCCTGCAAAGCTGAATTAAATAAAACCCATAAATACTAATGAGGTCATGGTTCTCACACTTCAGTGATCACTGGGATCATCTGCAGGGTTTGTTAGAACACAGGCAGCTGGGCCCCAGAGCTTTTGATTTACTCGTTCTGGAAAAAGACCTGAGAATTATTTGCATTTCTAACAAAGTCCCAGCCCGGGCTGATGCTGCTGGTCTGGGGGTCATACTTGGAGAACCCTTGTAGTGGAACATTAACAACACCCTAGTAGATTTTAATCCAGGTCCTCCAGAGCACCACGCCCCTCCCATGCCCCTGCCCACATCCCTCTTTTCTGCTGCAGGGAGAGATGCTGATGCCGGTCCACTTCCTGCTGCTCCTGCTGCTGCTCCTGGGGGGCCCCAGGACAGGCCTCCCCCACAAGTTCTACAAAGCCAAGCCCATCTTCAGCTGCCTCAACACCGCCCTGTCTGAGGCTGAGAAGGGCCAGTGGGAGGATGCATCCCTGCTGAGCAAGAGGAGCTTCCACTACCTGCGCAGCAGAGACGCCTCTTCGGGAGAGGAGGAGGAGGGCAAAGAGAAAAAGACTTTCCCCATCTCTGGGGCCAGGGGTGGAGCCAGAGGCACCCGGTACAGATACGTGTCCCAAGCACAGCCCAGGGGAAAGCCACGCCAGGACACGGCCAAGAGTCCCCACCGCACCAAGTTCACCCTGTCCCTCGACGTCCCCACCAACATCATGAACCTCCTCTTCAACATCGCCAAGGCCAAGAACCTGCGTGCCCAGGCGGCCGCCAATGCCCACCTGATGGCGCAAATTGGGAGGAAGAAGTAGAGGCGGAGGCTGGACGGGAGGGCAGCGGGGTGGGGAGGGGGAGGGGAGGGGGAGGGGAGGGCGAGGGGGGGAGGGGAGGGGGAGGGTGCTGTCTGCTGGTTTGTGTTTTGTGGGATCAGTCAGTTTTACAGGTTGCTGCACTGCTGAGCCCCTCTGATCTCTTCTGGCCTTTGACCCTGTCTCCCTCCTGCTCTGTCTGTACACACAGAAGTGCAGTATTGTCCAACCTTCCCAGACACAAAGCAGCTAACGTTCCTCCCTGTACTCAGCGTCTCCTTCCTCCCTCCCCACAGCAAGAGGCAAAGTTCATGCATTCCTCCTCTCCAGTCTTCTCTCTGTTGACCCCATGCCTGAGAAGAGAGCGTTCAGGGCTCCTCTCCCACACATCAACTTCTTCCAGGGCAGAAAGAGGAGCTGCAGCACTCGCCTTCCTGCCACCGAATCCTTCCCTACCTCCTCACCCCATTAAAACAATGGCTTCTTCAACTCCTGGCTTGTCTCAGTTCCTCTTCCTTCAGCCCCACTGCCTTCAAACTCTGAGCTTGGGACAGGGAAGAGGATGAGGGAGGGTCCTGGGGAGCCAATTCCCATTCTCTCTCGGGGGGAAATGGGTCTGGGAGACCTTAGCAGGGGTAAAGGAGAACTTAAGAGTCATTCGGTCTAGACCCGTCCCTGGGACCCGGTCCCACCAAGAGACACAACCTGGGAACTGTTTCAGAGTGGATGTCATGGCTAAAAGGAGGAGGGAGCTTTCAGTTAGCCCCTTGAAACATCTCAAACTCCTCCATGGCTTGTAGGGCCTGGGGACCGCTAGCCCTCCATGGCTTTCGCACTGAACCCACAGTAAGTTCCCTGTGCTAAGCTGGGTATTGCGGCCAACACTGATGTCCAGGCCAGGCCTCTGCACTCCCCCAGCCAATGACCTCAGTGGATGGACAAAGCCAGAACTTAAAAAGAAGCAAACACCGCCATGGAGCATATAGATGATGAACTGCAAAGTGAGAGCAATTAGCGTAAAAATATAAATATGAGGAGTGCAGAGAGGAGAACCTTCAATATGAGCAAAGTTCCCGTCAAAATGAACATCAGCAGCAGCTCTGATGGCCTCCTGGCAGCAAAGCCCAGGCCAGATTCCCAAAAGAGGGGCTGTGGTCCCACTCACTTCTGCGTGGTAAGAAATCAGCAGTAAATAAAACAAATTTGTGCATGGTAAAACAACGCAGACACACACACACAAATACACACACACCAACAACTAACACCACCACCACCAACAGAGGCAAAGTCAAAAGAAAAATGAATGATAGAGTTGAAAAAATGTTTGCCACTCATATAAAAGACACATGGATGATTGATCAAATATACAAACAGCTACTCAAAATTGAAAAGAACAAGAACTAACCCAGAAGAAAAATAAGCAAGGACACGAATACATCACACACACATATACACACACAAAAATTACAGATGGCTCTCGGATACATGAAAAGATGCTCAGTTTCATTCATAACAGCTGCACTGACATACAACTTCTTACCCATCTCATTGCAAAAGTCTGTAAGTGTGGCAGTACACTCCATTTGGCAAGGTTGATGGCCACTTTCCTCCATTCCTGGTTTTGGGAGGGGGTAGAGCCCTAGAGAGACAATTTGTCAATTCTTATTACAATCACAAATTCATTTTTCCTTTAATCCAGAAATCCTGCTTCTCTCAGACATTATCTTACCGAAAAAAGCTAACATTTAAATGTTAAAAAAGTCAAGATTGAAATTAAAAGTCCTCATCTCTTAACTGGACCTATCCTCCAACAAAGTGAAAATGCAACAGCAGTTTCCACCCTGGAAAAACCACATGGTAGAGCAGAAAACATCCTGTCCCGAGCCCCAGAACACCCATGACTAAGTTCTTCATATCGTGTGTCCAGGAGCAAATTCTCTAACTTCCAGAGACGCTGATGCACCAGAAATCATGGCAAGGGCTGCACCAGCATCATCTCACTTAATTGCCACAATTATATCTCAAGGTTATTATATTTTACCTTATAAAGATGGAGACTGTGGCCCAGAGAACTTGTCCAAAGTCTCTGTGCTATTAAGTGAAAGAATCAGATTTGGTCATAAACCCTCTCCTTCCTCCACAAAGGGCTGACCTTTCATTGACACAAAGGGCATGAAACACCAGCCACCCCTGCCTCACAGGGCTATCCCAAGGCTCAGATTAACTATGCACAAAAAAGCACCGCTCAGAGATTGGGGTTGTGACTTTTCTGTCCCCAGCAGTTGGGTCTGGTATTTGGAATGCTTTCAGAGCCTTACAGATGATGCTGTGATGAGCATAAGTGTCATCTGTAAGGCTCTGATGGTTAATGAACTAGGGAGAGTTGGCCAAAACTGGAACCCACCCACCGCAGCTGGGAAAGCACAGCTTTCCTGCTGGACAGCTACCGGCCTGCAAGTCCAGCATCCCGCTGTGTTTGAGCTCCTGCAGAATCAGAGCTTCATTTGGGAGCAAGCAGTGCTTCTAAGCATCTGTTCACGATGACATCAACAACAGGTGGAAGGTAGAGACAACCACATCCAAAGATCTCCACCACCTTTATCTGCCCCCCAGGTTTCAGTCTACCACACATTTTGGGGGGAAAGGAGAACTAATATTGATCCTATTATCATAAAAGGAAGAAATTCTCTGACGCCCCTCCCTCCTCCTCTGTCAGGGAAGGATAGAGAAACGGAATAGCTTCACCAGCAGTAAGAATCAAACGATCCAATTTCACAGCAAGCTGCTGTGGCTAAAGAGAATTTTGTAGAACATGGCAAACCCCGGTAATTAGTGAGGTTCCACTACATAGGGTTTTTTGGTTTTGGTTTTGGTTTTGAGACAGGGTCTTGCTTTGTGGCCCAGGCTGGAGGAGAGTGGCTAGGTCACAGCTCACTGCAGCCTTAAACTTCCCAGGCCCAAGTGATCCTCTCACCTCAGCCTCCCAAGTAGCTGAGACCACAGGCATGCACCACCACACCTGGCTAATTTATTTTTATTTTCATTTTTGTAGAGTAGAGGTTCCCTGTATTGCCCAGGCTGGTTTCAAACTCCTGGGCTCAAGCGATCCTCCCACCTCAGCCCCCCAAAGTGCCTGGACTACAGGAGTGAGCCACCGCACCCGGCTGAGTACACGGAACTTAATACTGTGTTTGGAACTTTCCTGAGTATAATAATTTGTCATTTTTCTGAAACACAATTTTGAATTACTCTGCAAGGCAGATGTGCATGAATAAGTTATAATAAGTTATTTATTTAGTGAGTGGGCCCAGTTATTACCCAGCGTCTCTGTCTCTAAGCGACTCCGTTGCTGTCTGCTAATGACCACACAGGTCCTACATCATTTGAGGTCTGAAGAGGACTGCTTAGGTTTTTCAGCTAGACGTGACTGCCTTTTGCAGAGGAAACTACTGACGAATGTGGCAACGCACAAAGCTCTCAGATATGCTCTGTACACGTAGGCTCTATCTGATTCTGTTTGAGGAATATATCCGAGAACCACACCTGATCCTCTGCGCTGCAACTGTAATATATGGACACACTAGAAACTGTCTAGAAAAGAACGGCAGAGGGAAAAAGCTAATAGAACTGAATTCGATTAACATATTGTGTGTAATAAATATTTTTTCAAATTAAAAACTAAAAACAGATTAATTTATCTTGCAAAAGTTAGAGGACTTCCCCAAAGAATTATTTATGAGGGACTGTGACTATGTTTGCCCTGAAGACTTCCCTCTAAAGCCAACAGAAATTTTAAAATAATGGTAGGCTGGGCACAGTGGCTCACACCTGAAATCCCAGCACTTTGGGAGACCGAGGCAGGTGGATCACTTGAGGCCAGGAGTTCGAGACCAGCCTGGCCAACAAAACCCTGTCTCTACTAAAAATACAAAAAATTAGCCAGGCATGGTGGCACATGCCTGTAATCCCAGCTACTCAGGAGGCTGAGGCACAAGAATCGCTTGAACCTGGGAGATGTAGGTTGCAGTAAGCAGAGACTGCACCACTGCACTCCAGCATGGGCAACAGAGAAAGACTCTGCCTTAAAAAAAAAAATTAGTTAATTAATTAACTAAAGTAAAGTAACAGTAAAATAATGGTGGTAATAATGTTTTGCTTTGTGAGTAGAAATACTTGGATAAATGATATCAAAGGGGATGGTGATTTTTCCTTGTCAAGAATCAGTCAGATATTGCGTGCGAACAAAACACTAAAGCAGCCAGGCATGGTGGCTCACACCCGTAATCCCAGCACTTTGGGAGGCTGAGGCAGGAGGATCGCTTGAGTCCAGGAGTTAGAGTCCAGCCTGGGCAACATAGTAGGACCCCATCTCCATATATATTTTAAAAGTAGTTTTAAAAAATAAAAATAAAAACACGGAAGCACCCAGTAATCACAGACAGGAAAGGAGTTTGCACCATTGAAGAGAGAAAAGTATGTAATAAAAATAAAGAATGAAAATAAAGACATATTAGGCTCATTAAAAAAAATAGGCTGGGCACAGTGACTCACATCTGTAATCCGAGCACTTTGGGAGGCTGAGGTGGGTGGATCACTTGAGGCCAGGAGTTCGAGACCAGCCTGGCCAACATGGTGAAACCCTGTCTCTACTGAAAATACAAAAATTAGCCAGGCGTGGGGGCAGGTGCCTGTAATCTCAGCTATTCAGGAGGCTGAGGCAGGAGAATTGCTTGATCCCAGGAGGCGGAGGTTGCAGTGGGCCGAGATTGCGCCACTGCACTCCAGCCTGGGTGACAGAGCAAAACTCCATCTCAGAAAAACAAATAAATAAATAAATAATAAAAAGAAAAGAAACATAATACAAAATTTGGAAGTGCTTTTTTGGGGAACAAAAATGAGTTTCTGTAAGTGAAAATTCTAAACACAATCCCAGTCAGATTACTTACTTTGGTTCAAACTCCCTTAAAAATTAGTTTAAGGTCTCTGTTACGAATAAAATGAGGATCAATAGGCACGTAAATCTCCAAAGAGGCAAGACACATGAATGGATGATATGGGCTGTATTAGTCTGTTCTCACACTGCTAATAAAGACATACCTGAGACTGGGTAATTTATAAAAGAAAGGTGGTTAATTGACACAGTTCCGCATGGCTGAGGACGCCTCACAATCATGGCAGGAGGTGAATGTGGAGCAAAGGCACATCTTACATGGTGGCAGGCAAGAGAGCTTGCGTAGGGAAACTCACATTTATAAAACCATCAGATCTCCTGAGACTTATTCACTACCACAAGAGCAGCATGGCGGAATCTGCCCCCATGATTCAATTACCTCCCCCTGGTCCCACCCTTGACACATGGGGATTATTACAATTCAAGGTGAGATTTGGGTGGGGACACAGAGCCAAACCATATCATGGTCTCTAGATGTTCTATCTAACAAGGAATCCTGAAAACAAATATCAACAACAAACAAAGGTTCCTGCTTCATAACAGTACAATAATTTTGGAAGCTGTAACCAAATAGGGAAAGCTGAGAAATACCCAGCATTTGATCAGACTTTTTAAATAATTTCAAGAAATATGAAATACACAAGTTCAACAGTAGTTAATATTAAACTAAAAAGACATTTACATATGGCAAGAGCCTAAGGAATATAAAATCTAATCAAATGATGCAGCTAGCTAACTTCATAAGAATTACAGATGTAATCTGACTTGAAAATTAGATAATAACATGACTCAAATCTGAGTGGGCTAGGGACCACTTCATTCTTTAGTGAATGAAGCTCTTGTGATAGATGATTGCTGGGACTCCATTAGAGTTGCCAAAAGCAGTCAGATCCTGGTCAATATCATTAAGAAGCCTCAGCAAGCTAAGAAAGCAAGAGACAAAACATATATCTTTGTAAGGTAACCCCAAAGCTACAGGATGACATATTGTTTTCTTCAAGGGAAAGCATATTTAATATTCTCTCTCCTTCCTGCCTCAGCTATCATTCCCCAGTGTGAACCTCAAGTCATCAGATTGAATCTCCCCACCTGCCATTGTTTTTATCACCTACCAACACCTGGGTCAGTCCACCTCATTTCTTTTTTATTTTATTCTATTTTATTTTGAGACAGGGTCTTGCTGTGTCATGCAGGCTGGAATGCAGCAGCGTGATCACAGCTCAGTGCAGCCTAAACCTTCCCAGGCTCAAGCGATTCTCCCACCTCAGCCTCCCAAGTAGCTGGGACTTCGAGCGTGTACCACCACACCTGGCTAATTTTTCTATTTTTTGTAGAGACGAGGTCTTGCCATGTTGCCCAGGCTGGTCTTGAGCTCCTGGGCTCAAGTGATCCACCCACCTCGGTCTCCCACAGCACCTCATGTCTCCACCCACCTCGGTCTCCCACAGCACCTCATGTCTCCACCCACCTCGGTCTCCCACAGCACCTCATGTCTCCACCCACCTCGGTCTCCCACAGCACCTCATGTCTCTGTCACTTTAGCTCTTGGCTCGTCAATCTCGCTCACGGGGCTCCTGTCTTAATCTGTGGTAATCTCAGTACACGTGTAGATGACCTCTCCCACACCTGGCCTCTCAGCTCCTTAAACATTTCCACTCCCATGACCCTGACCTGCCTCCTGCCTCACCACTCGCTCCCATGACTTTGTCATTACAAGTCACAAACTTTCTGACCACCATGTCCTGTCTTTCCAGCTCACCCTTCCTAGGACAGCAACTCCAACCATCTCCCAACCTCCCCGAAGCCAATAATCCACGGATCCTGCTACCTTTTCACCATCCACCATCCCTCCCGCCACGTCCCGACCTCTCTTCCCTCCTTGCCCGTCTAAATGCCAGAGTGGATTTTATCATCCCTCACTGTGCACACCTGAGATTCCCTCGTTCCACATTTGCCTTGTTTTATTCATTCAAACACGCCATTATTCTGCCCTTGAACCCTGAAGCTTAACACAGCTTAAAACCCACACACACACACCACACACATGCACACAACACACAACACACCACACACCACACACACACACCCCCCACACCACACACACACCCCCCACGCACACACTACACCACACACCCCACACACACCACACACACCACACACCACACCACACACCCCACACACACCACACACCCCACACACACCCCACACACACCCCACACACACCACACACACACACCACACACCACACACCCCACACACACACCACACACACCACACACACACCCCACGCATACACACCACACACCCCACACACCCCACACACACCACACACACCCACCACACACACACCCCACACACACACCACACACCAACCACACACCACACACACCACACCACACACACACACCACACACACCACACACCACACACACCACACACACATACCACACATCCACATATATCACAGACATACACATACCACACCATACACACAACACACACACACACACACACACACACACACACACAGACTGATCTCTCCTTAGAATCCTCACTGGACTCCTCAGATGGGCTCTTCAGATGGCCCAGCGTTTACACCACGCTTCCTTCACCACTCCTGCCCCTACTTCTTAGACTTTCACTCATTTTCTTCTCTCCGCAGACCTCTAGTATATCCTTCCCTTTCCAACCTCAGCTGCTGACTTTACTCCCTTTTCATTAAGAAAATGGGGTGTTTCAGAAGCACGATTTCACAGAAACCTCACCACCGTGTCTTCGCCCGGAGAGCACCTGTACTCACACACTCTGCCTTCCTTCCTATTGAGTTAGTTGAATTGTCCGTGCATCTGTGTAGGGACAACCTCTGTGTCACACTCTAAGTTCCCATCCCCTCTCACCCACTTAAGACATGGATCCAACAACCTTTCTGTCTTCCTCCCACATCTTTGATGCCACCTCCCCCTCTGCATCATTCACACTAGCAAGCAAACCCATTTTTCTTTCTCCAATGCTAGAAACAATACTTTTTAAAAAATAAAAATGGAGACAGGGTCCCACTATGTTGCTCAGGCTGGTCTCAAACTCCTGGGCTCAAGCAATCTTCACGCATCCACCTCCCAAAGTGCTGGGATGACAGGTGTGAGCCACCGCACCCAGCCAACAACTCTTGACTTATCGCCTCTTCCAGAGAGTAGCACGTTACTCTGCCTTCTTTTACAGCAACGCTCTGACAATTTCTCTATACTCTCTTCTTTCTCTCTCCATTCAACCCCCATTAATCCGGCTTGCATCCCTATCATTCCACTGAACCCTCTCTTCAAGGTCAGCCTAAATCCAGCACCCAAGCCCCAGCCCTCACTCACATGACTTAGGAGTATCCTGTAACACATGGGACCACGACCATGACCTCCTCCTGGATAGACTTTTTTCCAACTGGGCTTCCAGGACACTCCACTGCTTTCCTTCTCCCTCCGTGGCTCCCCCTTCTAAATCTTCATTGCTGGTTCTGTTACCAGAAAGGGATCCTGATTCAGACCCCAATAGAGAGTTCTTGGATCTCATGCAGAAAAGAACCCAGGGCAAGTCCAAGGGCCAAAGCAAAGGAATTGAAAGAGCAACTACTCCATAGACAGAGTAGGATGGTCCCGAAAGTAAGAGGAGGAACCTGTCCCCCCTAGGTACAATGCTAGTTTATATATAGGACAAAAGAAGATTGGGGGGATGTCCCCTGCTACAAGGGTTTGTGATAAAGGATTAATTTTCTTAATTACTATTTTTTGCAAGAATCAATATTATTATATTTAAAGCAAACTTAGGCATGCTTCTGTTCTCAAGATATCAGGACATCAGGACACTCCCAAGTCTGAGTCTGTTTAGTAAATGTTATCAATCTGTTCCCTTAACCATAAACATCTTGAGGCCAGGAATACCCAACTTTCTGGGAGTCAGCCCAGCAAGTCCCAGCCTCATTTTCCTAGCGCTCACTCAGGATGGAGTCGGTCTGGTTTGAACTCCTCTAATAGTTCCTCTTACTAGTAATGTTCTCTCCTCAAATATCTGCTGCCTCCCTTGTCACTCCCTTGAAGTCCTTGTCAAAGCTGCTTTCTTTGGAGGCTACAATGCCCACTTTTTTGAAGCTGCAATCCATTCCCTCTTAGTGTCCTCTACTTTTCCCCAAGAGCACCTGCCATCTTTTAACCTGTGGTATAATTTACTACCTTATAGTGTTTATTGTCTTTCACTACAACATAAACTCCATGAGGACTGGGGTTTCTTCTGTTTTGTTCAATGCTGTGTCCCCCATGTCTGGAACTGTGACGAGCACGTGATGGGTGCTCAATAAATAATTGTAAGTGAATCCATTAAATAAGGATGTACTGAAGCTGCTGTGATAAGGAAGCTGTGCCAACTTGGCATTTCAAATACAGCGTTTATAATATTTAAGAGTGTTTGGCCTAATACAATCGTAGTCAGCCATGTAATTCCAATTTTAGAAGTGTAAATGTTGTCAATAAATTTACACTTGTGATCTTAAGTACAAATCTTAATCACTTGTAGACAGCTTTAGAACAGTGAAGAGTACTTAATTACCATAGGTATAGTTTAATTTATTAGATTTTTAAAGAATTATTTACAGTACTTGGGAAAGTTTGTCAAAACCCTCAAAAGAAAATAGAATATATTAAATTTATAGGCAACCTAAAATATTTAAGAGCATTTATCTAAGACTGTAAAAGAGACCCAAAATTCATGTGTATTCCCTTTAAAAGTGATTATACAAATTTTCTAGGCTTATGAATAATAAGATTCACAAGCTGAATGCAAAACCTTAAGAAAGACTGTGGTTATTATCTTTAGTAGATTATTAACTTTTAAAAACAAAAGAAAATCTATAAATAGTATTTTTCTCGATGCGTCAGTACTCATGTACACACACACACACACACACACACACACACACACACACACACACACACACACACACAACCTCTAGAGCATGAAAAACTCATCTCAACAGTGGATCAGTTATTTAAGGACTTCACTAGTGCCCTCCAGTGGCTGAACAGAGAAACAACACATGTACGTTGAAGAATAAATTTTATTTTATTTTACTTTATTTCTTTGAGACAGTCTTGTTTTGTTGCTCAGGCTGTAGCACAGTGGTGCAATCACGGCTCACTGCAGCCTCAACATCCTGGGCTCGTGTGGTCCTCCCACCTCATCCTCCCAAATAGTTGGGACCAAAGTTGCATGCCACGCCTGGCTAATTTTTTTTTTTTTTTTAAGCAGAGACAGGGTCTCACTATGTTGCCCAGGCTGGTCTCGAATTCCTGGGATCAAGTGATCCTCTCTCCTTGGCCTCCCAAAATGCTGGGATTATAGGCATGAGCCACTGCACCTGGCCAATAAATGTTAAATACTTAGTAAAAGCCTAATAAAAATGTAAGGCACTACGTAGGACATACACATTAAACATTTTTTTCATCAGTGAGTACTTACTACAAATTTTCAATGCAGTGAGACATTTCATGGTGTGTCTCCACTGTCCATAAACCCTGGGGTGGAGCAGACAGGTGCTCTGGGAGCTCAGAGAGGACACAAGGAGGAAGATTCTGGAAGTTTCATGGAGCAGGTAACAATAGAACTGGGCTCTAAAGTAGGAATTACATCTGCAGGAAATTAAAATATTTTACCCCAAAATATTTAACTTTTTTTTTTTTTTTTGAAACGGAGTCTTGCTCTGTCGCCTAGGCTGGAGTGCAGTGGCATGACCTTGGCTCACTGCAACCTCCGTCTCCTGGGTTCAAGCAATTATCCTGCCTCAGCCTCCCAAGTCGCTGGGATTACAGATGCCCACTACCATGCCCGGCTAATTTTTTTGTATTTTTAGTAGAGACGGAGGGGTCTCACCATCTTGGCCAGGCTGGTCTTGAACTCCTGACCTCATGATCCACCCGCCTCGGCCTCCCAAAGTGCTGGGATTACAGGTGTGAAACACTGCATCCAGCCATTTAACATTTTTTTTTAAAATGACTGCCACTAGGCCAGCAAATGGAAGTGGCCTTGCAAAGTTGGGGCTTTTGGGGGGAAATTTTGCATCTGTAGAGGATCTCTATGAATGCAGCCATAACCCCACCCCACTTCCTTTATCTTACCCAGATCCAGGAGAGGTTGGGATTCTGACCCTTGAAAGTCTAAAAGAAGCATTTACTATCTATTCTCTCTGAGGGAGACTTCATCTACATAACAAGGCCACCTGTGCTAGCCAAGCCTCTTCCTCTCTCCCTCTCATCAACAGTCTTGCCACTCAACTTCATTGACCAACATAACCTGTTTCTGGCCCTGCTCCGAGTCTGCCCTCTTTACTGTGGCCTCAAGATAGGACATAAGTTCCTGTACCTCTTTGGAAAGTTGTGTCAGAGGTGTTCAAACCAGAGCGACTCCATCTTGAGTGAGGGCTAGAAAATGAGGCTGGGACTTGCTGGGCTGCATTCCCAGAAAGTTAGATATTCGTAGTCTCTAGATGTTTATGGTCAAGGAAACAGATAATTAATGTTTACTAAATAGAGGCAGACTTAGGAGTGTCCTGATATCCCGATATCTTGAGAACAGAAGCATTCCTAATTTTCCTTTAATGATAATAATATCAATTTTTGCAAAATATAGTAATTAGAAAATTAATCCTTTATCACAAATCCTTGTAGCAGAGCATATCTCCCATGATGATTTAATATTATATATAAACAAGTATTATACCTAGGGTAGACAGGTTCCTCCTCTTACTTTCGGGACCATCCTCCTCTGTCTATGGAGTAGCCGCTCTTTCACCACTTTACTTTCTTAATAAACTTGCTTTTGCTTTGCCCTGTGGACTTACCCTGAATTGTTTTTTATGCGAGATCCAAGAACCTTCTCTTGAGGTCTGGATCAGGACCCCTTTCCGGTAACAGTTGAGTCTTCATCCTGAAGGCTCCCGTATATACACATTAAACAAATTTGTTTGCATTTTCTCCTGTTAATCAATCTGCCTCATGCCAGTGATTTTCCAGCAAACCTTGAGGGGACCAATGGCCGTGGCCCCCACACATCACATGATCATGGAGGAAAAAGGATATGCTGGGAAACGGGGGCAAGTCTGGTTGGAATGGAACGCACACAATGACAGTGAAGAATGGAAGAGAAGTTTGAGTCAGAGCTTGCTGGGACAGTCTCTGCGTGCCACACACAGGAGTTTGGGCCTTAGGTTCAGGCGATGGGGAATCATTAAAGCTTTGAGCGAAGGAGCAGGGTAATCCAAGCTGTGCTTCAGAAGGTTCAGTCGGAGAGTAGTGGGTCGGTTGGGTCAGGAAGACAAAACGAAAAGCAGAAGAGCATTTAGACCCCAGTGCACTGGTGAAGGGGAGAATAGTTGAAGAGAAAGAAGGGAATGTGTTCTGGACACATTACCAAAGTAGAATTGATGGAATTCATTCTTCTATTAAAATAAAAACTTTAAACAAATCATATTTAACAGAGTTCAATTGAGCTAAGAACAATTCAAGAATCAGGCAGCCCTGGAACCAGAATAGGTTCAGAATGACTCCAGAGCAGCCACATGGTTGGATTTAATGCACAGAAAAAGGACAGTGACATATGGAAAATGGAAGTGAGGTACAGCTGGATGGATTACACCTCGGCCTCTGCCTTCTTTGAACACAGTTTGAACAGTTGGCTACATGCAGTTGGCTGAAACTATAAGAGTAAGTGACAGGCCAGGCATGGTGGCTCACACCTGTAATCCCAGCACTTTGGGAGGCCAAGGCAAGTGCATCACCTGAGGTCAGGAGTTCGAGACCAGCCTGGCCAACATGGCAAAACCCCATCTCTACTAAAAATGACACAAATTAGCCAGCCATGGCACGCACCTGTAATCCCAGCTACTGGGGAGGCTGAGGCAGGAGAATTGATTGAACCCAGGAGGTGGAGGTTGCAGAGAGCCAAGAGAGCGCCACTGCACTCCAGCCTGGGCAACAAGAGTGAAACTCTGTCTCAAAATAATAATAATAATAATAATAATAAAGAGAGAGAGAAGGTGACAGACTGTTGACACATCCCGTTAGGTCACAGTTCACAATTGTGAAAAGAAAATAAAAACATAGGACCCCAATTCACTCTGCCATAGGAAAAAAGTTAAGCTGAAAGCTGAGTCATACAACAAGCTGCCTTTCCTTTTGTTCTTACTCAGACAGCTACAGACAAAAGGTTAAATATCTCCTTCACTGGTAGCTACTCTAGGGTTACCTTATCTTATATAAGGTGGCAATTTACTGAGCACAAGACGAAAATATCAGTGACTATTCGCCCACGTGCTCCCTTTCTCCTGAACATGTGGATCCGGTAATGGGACCATACCCTCTCTCTTTCATCTCCAGCCCACCCTTCCCTTTTAAGTATTGAAACCCTCGGACAGGTGTGGTGGCTCATACCTGTAATCCCAGCACTTTGGGAGGCCAAGGCAGGCGGATCACCTGAGGTTGGGAGTTCGAGACCAGCCTGACCAACATGAAGAAAGGCCGTCTCTACTAAAAATACAATTAGCCAGGCATGGTGGTATGCGCCTGTAATCCCAGCTACTCGGGAGGCTGAGGCAGGAGAATCACTTGAACCCAGGAGGCAGAGGTTGCAGTGAGCCGAGTTCACACCACTGCACTCCAGCCTGGGCAACAAGAGTGAAACTCTGTCTCAAAAAAAGAAACCCTCAAAGTCATCTTTGCAGAAAGGCACAGACTGCAGACTGTTTCTGTGATTCCATGTTTATTTCTTTCAAGCATGTCCTTTACCCTGGCAAAATGAACTTCTAAATTGATTGAGACCTGTCTCAGATACTTTTTTCATTTACACCATGTACAGAGAAACATTTAGACCCAACTTACAATACGTAGGGAGGCTGAACGTAATCTAATACTACATAGAGAGCAAGCAATGGGCTGGGGCACAGTCAAAAATGATGATGTTGCCTAGGACCTGCTTAAGTGGGAAAGCGATGCCATAACCACTGAAGGAAGAACAGATTTCATTTGAAAAAACAGTTTTTCCAGGGGGAAGTTAAATTTAAGTGTAGCTAAAACATCTGTGAGGATAGGTCCAACAAGTGGGCGGAAATTTTAGTATAAGACTCAAGAAAGAAAGAAAACTTAGACAGTTGTAACAGTTACCGCATAGTGATACTGTGGTTGTGAGTAACATAAATAAGGGCAGGGGAGAGAACCAAGTGTGTCTCCATTAGAGGAAGACAAGGAGGCAGTTTAGAAGGTCGGATGCAGTGGCTGATGTCTGTAATCCCAGCATTTGGGAGGCTGAGGAGGGAGAATCACTTGAGCCCAGGAGTTCGAGATCAGCCTGGGCAACATGGCAAAACCCTGTCTCTACAAAAAATACAAAAAAAAAAAAAAAACTAGCTAGGTGTGGTGGGGTACACCTGTGATCCCAGCCACACAGGAGGCTGAGGCAGGAGGACCACTTGAGCCCAGAAGGTTGAGGCTGCAGTGATCCATGAACACGCCACTGCACTCCAGCCTGGGCAATGGAGTGAGACCCCATGTCAAATAATAATAATACATTTTTTTTAAAAAATGAGACAGTATAGAAGGAGAGTCTGGGAAGATCTCAGACATAGGAAAAGCACCAAGTAGTGTCACAGAGTCAAAGGAAAGGTTTCATGAGAATCAGCAAATGATTAAGGTCAAGCAACCTGAAGGCTGAGAAAGTCATTGCTTTGATGAATAAGGCATTATGGGTGATCTTCAAGACAACAGCATCAGTAGAGTGGTGGAAAGACACCAAATTACAAAGGCTGGGAGCAAACAGAGGATGCACTGGAGGCGTCACACGCATATCCTTTTTAAAAGTTTCGTAGAGTGGAGAGATGTGATAGCACATTGCAGGGATAGCAGAATCCAGAATAAAGGTGGTTTTCTGAATGGGGAGACTGAACCTATAAGTAGGGGACAGAAAATAAATCAATGGAGAAAGGGAGATGGAATGTACAAGAGAGATCAAAGGAGCAAGGCCTCCTAGAAGGCAGGAGTCAGGAGAGAAGGTGCATGGATAACCAATGGTCTTGGAAAGAATATTTTTCCTCAGGGACTGTAGAGGATATGTGAAGATTCAAAATAATTTTAAGGAGGAGATTGAAGAGGAATATTAGAAGTTAAAATCAGATAGATGTGATTACAGTAGGGTAGGAAATAAGGTACTTTCCAATTTAGTAAATATTGGAGTGCCTGCAATATGCCTGACACTACAAATACACAGATGAATACGGTATCTCCTACCTCAAGATCACGTTTAATTAGTGTTTATAGTCCTCAAAGTTATCTCAACCATTATTCCAATGACCTCCTCCTCACTCCTTGAGGGAGAAAGGCAAATATTATTCCTTCTTAACCCCAATGTTAAATATTCAGCCAAAGTACATTAAGTGAGTTTGCCAAAGTCTCAACAGACAGTGTTGATAATGAATATTGGGCTAGAACATAGTGTCATTTCCTGTATTTAACTGCTGATATAAAATATGGCTTCTGCCATATCTTACTTCACAAATCCTTGAGTCTTTTCAAATGTCCTTGGTCCACCTCTCATAAATGCAAAATTTAAGAAGTACAGAACCATAAAAAATAAGACAATAAGAGGGATAATATATACCCTAATATGCTTCCTAGATCCTTCAGGAATATCAATATATCTTCAACAGACATTACTATCTACTATATGCATGGCACTGTGTCAGATGCCAAAACTACAAACATTAAGAATAATGCTCTGCTCTCTTGAAAGAGTGTCATAGAAGAAATAAGAAAAGAATGAAAATAAAAACAATATAGAGAATTTGTAATGCCCAAAGATAAATAGAACTAAGGCCCTGAAAGTTACATAGAATTTATAAAACAATATTTAATTCATTGCTTTAATGCATCCTATGGACTTATAACATTAAGCAGGTTATTTCATGTCCCTGGGCTTCTGTCTTGCCAAGCACAAACATTCTTATCAACTCTTCATAGTTTTTACAACTATCATTGGAATAAATTGTCAAAAGTATAGCTACTTTAAACTCTACTAAAAAATGGACTTTTGCCTGTATGCAAAATATTCAGTAATAGAATTATTCATAAATTACATGGATCTGTATCTGTTCAATTGGATTTTCAATGAAAAAGAAAGATCTAACAACTACCAACAAACATAACTGAAATGTCTTTGGGGTTTAATAGAACAGATCAAATTATTTCCACATAGTATTTTCCAAAGCTTATGTAAGGTAGAAAATATATAGTTGGAAGTAGAGAGGTAGAAAAAAGATAAAACATATTTTTTTAAAAAAGTGCATGCAACATTTGGGACAATGTAAAGGAATTATATGTGTAGTCTAAGTCACATAAGGAAAGGAAAGAAAACTCAAATGATATTTGAAGAACTATTGGCCAAGCATCTTCCAAAACTGATAGGAGACATCAAGCCACAGATTCTAATAGCTCTAAAAAGTTCAAGTAGGATGAACATAATAAAAACACACCCAAGCACATCACTGTTAAATCACCAAAGGAAAAACAAAACAAAACAAAACAAAAAACACTACTTTCCAGGATACAATAAGATCAACAGCTGACTTTTCAATAGAAATAATGAAAGCCAGAAAACTATGGAATGGCGTATTTCAAAATGCTGAAACAAAGTAACTGTCAACCTAGAATTCTATACCCAGAGAAAATATCATTTAAAGATGAAGGTAACCTAGACATGTTTAGAGAAAAATAAAAATAGAGAGGATTGTCTGCTGGCAGATCTACATTAAAAGATTGCTAAAATGAGTTATTTTGTCAAAAGGGAAATAATCCCAGATGGAAGCATAGTAATGCAAGAAGGAATGAAGAGTGCCAGAGAACTAAACTAGGAGGCTAAATCTAAGCCAACATCCATTATTTAAAACAATGATAATAATAGTATAGATTCTTTCCATTGAACAAGGTTTTGAAACTGTGCTCCAAAGAGTTGAAGAAACCAATGACTAACAGAAATTATTGAGTTTTCAGGATGGCAGATAAGAAAAGAAAGAACTTGATAAAATGCTGAAACTACCTCTGCTTATAAGATATTTTTTTAACTAGCTGAAATTGGTTTGAACCAATATGGCCAACCAGAGTCTGTGCAGAATGAGCTTGCTGATGTAGCAGCCGCAACTTCTACCATGTTTCATACTAACGTCTCCTCATTTTGTACATGCGTCCCATGAGGAAGCATGAGGAAATAACCCATGAGGAAGCATGAAGACCTTCCAGACCTTTCCTTTACTTCCACCAATCACCTACTAATCCCAGAACCTAGCCACTAAAGCTTTTCTAATAAAAATACTGTCTTAGACCCAGCACAGGGAGACAGATTTGAGCTGAATTTCTATCTTCTTGTTGGTCAATTCACAATAAAAGCCTTTCTTTTCTCAAAAACGCAATGTGACACTGTTGGCTTCTAGCACATTAGGCAGCAAGCCCTTTTGCTCAGTAACAGTTTTCTTCCACACTTCAATAAAGAGCCAATTCTAGATATTGTTGGTCTATGTTGGATATAGTGAAGACACACTAAAGTTCACCAAATCATTCCTTTTGTTTGGACAAAATAATTTTTTTAACTTACTTTCCTCCAAATGTTTGATCCCATCAAGTCAGAGACATGAGAATGACAGTCATGTTCCTTTCCCTGTTACTATACCAGGAATCCTGGCACATCTCAATTAACAGGCTCCAAACACAACCCTGCTATGAGGTTGTTTTCATGTGAACAGAAGTTGAGCCCTTGGCAGAGAAGCTTGGAAGTGGAGTCCAAAGGGGACACAGCCAGATACTTAGAGACTTGGCGACTGAGCAAAAACTCAGCGATAGTTGTCTGTGCTGGGAAAAAAAAAAAATCCTTACTGGCATTGAAGAGTAGCTAAATATCATTTCCACCAAACAGTGGTCATTGGCTTCCGTGGTGAGAATGGTTTCAACTGAAAGCAGGCAAAATGGTACATTGTTTGAGTACCACTCTTAAAGGCCACATCTCAGGGGAGTGATTTTAGTATGTAAAAGAATCTCCCAAGAAACTGTTAGAAATGGAGGGTTATACTTTCCACTCAATGTTGCTGAGAACCTATAAATACTCAAAAAATAGATCTTACCAAAAAAAAAAAACAATACAGAGCATTCATTTTTGAGTCCAGTTGCACAAGCAAGAAGGTAGTAGCCTTGTAGTTTGAGGAATCTCAAAACAGATACACAACTTCATGCCTCCAGCCAAGGCTTTAGTGCCTCCTATCTTCCGATGTCTACCTGAGCCAAAAGCATGTACCCGGTTGAGGCCAAGAGTATAGCTGAAGGGTGAGGGCTGACAGGTTAAACAGTGCAGGTGGATGAGGCTCCTGAGGATTATCTACCATCAGTCCAAGAGCAACACCTCAGCCCAACTCAGTACCTTTGCAGCATCTAAGTTGCCTTAATTCCAAGTATTAGTGAGACAAAATATTGTGGTTATTTAAAATCTCACTAGTGGTTTTAATGCATTTATAGCTTTGTCCAGAGTAAATTATTTTCTCAAATGGAACTATTCGGTGGCAAAAATTAATTCCATTTAGTGTTTTTGTATATCTCAACTCCTTAGGACACAGGCCCTCCAGCCCCCAGGATTCTAGCTTAGCAAGTCAATAGAGAAGCTCAACGATCTGCATTTTTACTAAACTTCTGAAGTGACTCTGGCACAGAGTTAAGCGGGCGACACTTTGAGAACACCACCTCCAGGAAAGGGAAGTGGAAGAGACGGCTCTCACCTCTGACGTGCAGGACACCCAAATTCAAGTTTTAGAAAGACCCAAATTTGTTTACATAAAAAGCAAACTGAGCCCTTTGGGCACACATTTCAAAGAAGAATAAGAATCATACTGAAAATATTTATGATTTAATCAGTGTAAAAAATGTAGACATGGGGGAAAAAACATTCGTAATCAACATGTGCTGTTTTCTACTTCCGGTACCAGAAAGGAAAAGCATAAACTTCAGGATTTCATTGTCTCTTGGTAAAACAAAAAAATCCCACCTAGAAGTGACTCAGCAGTTCAAAGGACTCTAAGCTTCCAAAGGCTCCCAGGTAGCAGAGCTGACTTGTACCAGTAGACCAGGAAATAATGTGTTCATTGTTGGTACTGACCCACTTAATTTAGTGTGGAACCTAGAGTCTTGCCTGATTTGAGTTCATTTTTCTGCTCATCAGGGGAACTACCCACTAGGCATATAACGGCTTGAAAAGAAAACATGCCATTTTAACTTGACATTCATTTGCACCCATCATACATGCCTCAGAAACTTTGCGCCACTTCCTCATAGTCCCTCTCCAGGGCTGCCAGATCTTCCCTGGCCTCCAAGAACTCTGCTTCTTCCATGCCTTCTCTGAGGTACCAGTGCAGAAATGCTCTCTTGGCGTACATGAGGTCAAACTTGTGGTCCAGGCGGGCCCAGGCCTCCACAATCGCCGTGGTGTTGCTCAGCATGCAGATGGACCGGTGGACTTTGGCCAGGTCCCCACCCGGCATCACCGTGGGCGGCCGATTGTTGATGCCCACCTTGAAACCAGTTGGACACCAATCTACAAACTGAACAGAGTGCCTCGACTTCGTGGCTGCGATTGCTGCATTCACTTCCTTGGGGACCACATCCCCTCTATAGAGTAGGCAGCAGGCCATGTACTTCCCAAGCCGAGGATCACACTTGACCAGCTGGTTGGAGGACTCAAAGCAGGCAGTGGTGATGTCTGACACAGAGAACTGCTCATGGTAGGCTTTGTCAGCAGAGACGATGGGGGCGAAGGCTGTCATGGGGAAATGTATTCTCGGATAAGGTACCAGGTTGGTCTGGAATTCAATTAGGTCTACATTCAAGGGCCCTTCAAACCGGAGGGAGGCAGTGATGGAAGATACCACCTGAACCACCAATCTATTGATGCTGGCATGAGAGGGGCATTCAACACCGAGTTTACGATGGCATATATCATAGACGGCCTCGTTGTCCACCATGAAGGTACAGTCCGTGTGCTCTGTGGTGGAGTGGGTGGTGAGGACAGAGTTATAAGGCTCTACCACAGCAGTGGAGATCCTGGGGGCTGGGTAGACCGAGAACTCCAGCTTAGTCTTTCTGCTATATTCTCCTGTGAGCCTCTCCATTAAGAGAGACGTAAACCCTGAACCAGTGCCTCCTCCAAAGCTTCGGAAAATCAAAAATCCCTGAAGTCCACCACACTGTTCTGCCTGGAGAAAGTAAATGAGATGTGAGAATTCAGCTGAATAAATCCAGAAGCAGTGAATTGGACAGTAGTGGCAGGATACAACAGGTTTCCCCAAAACAAAATCTTTCAGAAAGGACTCCTTTGCCTTTGTTAACTCCACAACAAACATAGCTACTTTGAAATACTCTCAAGGGGACTTCTGGAGTAGGCAAAGCACTTCAGAGCTTTACTATAAGCAGAGCATAAATATCCACCTGTCTTTCACTGACCTCTGTGCATTTATCGGTATGTGATCGCAAACAAGGCCTTCATCAATAACAAAGAAAATGACAAAACACTGAAGCAAAATAACATTCCCCCCACGTCTATGCTCCATCTGGCATGCTGGTGTAAAAGGTGTTGTAGTAGCTAACAAATATGACAAACACCAAAACTCTTACTTAGCAAAGGGTCTCCAGACTCAGGCCCCTAAAGAGGAATTAATTATCAGTAAATAGAGTCACGCATCTCCAGATAGGGAGTGCCTCTTGCTAACTTCATAAACATCAGTTACTCTTGGAAAATGACAGGTTACTCTTGGAAAGTGACAGGTTTTAGAGTGCTATGGGAGTCTCTCGTAACAAGATGAACCCTGTGTTAGGAGAACCAGGGATGATCAGGTGATCAGGGGACCCCCCAGTAAGTATAAAAGTTTCTGTCTCCTTCCTAGTAACAAGGGGAAATCAAAGCCAAGATGAGAACCCCTCCCCAGTTCTGAGCACCCAGACCAGAGCCCAGGGAGAGACGGTTGGTGGCGATGGTGACAGCAGATAATGCTTGTGAGTTCTGCCGCAGGACCCCACATGCCCCAGGCACAGCCCACTCGGAGGAGAGGGGGAGCCACTTGCCAGCTTCCGGGTCCTCTCCAGCACAAGGTCGATGACCTCCGACCCCACAGAGTAACGGCCTCGCGCGTAATTGTTAGCAGCATCCTCCTTTCCGCTAAGGAGCTGCTCGGGGTGGAAGAGTGAACGGTGCTGGCCCGTCCGGATCCCATCTGCAGAGGGTGAAAGGAGGTCAGTGCAACTCACCCAGTGCAATTCAGCCGTCCACCTGCTGCTAGTCCTCCTGGAGCCTCCCCGTACTTGACTCCCATGCTTTCTCTCAATATTGTGGTCCAGGAATGGAATTTAGATAGTGCTGAATTAGCCCGTCTTAGTCCAGGAGAAGTGGAATTTTTTACATATACATGGAAAGTATGTTTTTCTACCATGCACCCCTTATTAGTTTCCTAGTGCTGCCATAACCAATGACAACAAACATCATGGCTTAAAACAATAGGAATTTATTTCCTAACAGCTCCAGAGGCTGGAAGTCTAACATCAAGGCGTTGGTAGGCTTGGTTCCTGCTGGAGGCCCCAGGGAGCGTCTGGTCCAAACATCTCTCCTGGCACCGGGTGACTTACAATTCTTAGCTCTCCTTGGCTTCTAGCTACCCCCTTCCAATCTCTACCTCTGGCATACAAGCCTTTTCCCCTGTATGTGTGTCTGTGCTCTCTCCTCTGATAAGGACACAATTCTTTAGCATTAGGGCCCACCCTAATCCAGGAGGACCTCATTTTAACTAGCTACATCAGCAAAGACCCTGTTTCCAAATAAAGTCACATTCTGGGATTGCAGATGGGTATGAATTTGGGGGGACACACTTCAACCCACTGCCCACCCTAGGACACATTGGCATTTTGAGACAAGTATTTTTATCTACAAATTGCGAACTGTGTGCTGGAAAGGCACACAGAAAGGCATATCCAGGGCACAGTGGCTCACACCTGTAATCCCAGCACTTTGGGAGGCTGAGGCAGGTGGATCACTTGAGGTCAGGAGCTTGAGACCAGCCTGGCCAACATGGTGAAACCCTGTCTCTACTAAAAGTACAGAAAATTAGCCAGGCATGGTGGTGGGTGCCTGTAATCCCAGCTACTCGGGAGACTGAGGCAGGAGAATCACTTCAACCCAGGAGGTTGCAGTGAGTGGAGATCACGCCATCGCACTCCAGCCTGGGCAACAAGAGTGAAATTCTGTCTCAAAAAAAAGTAAAATAAAATAAAATGAATTTTAAAAAATAAAGGAATATCCATCTTTTAAATCTGCTTTAAAAGAGGATTTAACAGGGAAGGCACGGCAAACTCAAATGCCCACACGACCCAAATGCTGAGTGCATAAATGCATGACGCAGGACAATTGGCGTTAAGATGTTGGCAGTATCCAATACAACTGAGGGTAGCCCCTGCCAGGTCTCATTGCCTTTTAAAAACCTGGGCAGCATGCCCTACTCCTCCACCTTAGAATTACTCAAATAGCATTATTCCTGATGATTAAACAGCAGTGTTTCAGGGCTAAGTAGGCTTTGGGACGGCTGCCCTGGTTACTGTGGGATACTGCATTGCTTAGTAGTTAAATGCATGTTTCAAGAATCAGTTTCCTGGGTTCCTATCTTGCCTTCCTCACTAAGCTAGAGAGAAGTTACTTAGTCAATGATTTTAGCTCATAAATAAGGATTATAACAAGATCTACCCCATTGAGCTGTTACGAGAACATAGGGCACAACGCACGGCCCATATAACAACAGCAATTATAAGTAACAATGATAGAACTGGCTTCATGACATGCATTTATGCAGATTTACCTCATTATACACCACCAGCCTTGGCAGCAGATAGCTGAGCCAGTCCTAGAAGCTCACAGCCTAAGGAGAAATGCATTGTGTTTCTGTTTAATAAGAGCACGATTGTTTTTCAATTCACCGTGCCTTCCGTGCGTGACCATGAATTTCTAAACTCCAATTTTGCAACCTCTCAAATAATATTTATTGAAATTGAGTTTAAATAACTTTTAACTAGCTTACACACAAACCTCCCCCAGAGCTAGGATGTTTAAAAGATATATTTATAAACAAGATATAAGTGAAAGTGTAATTCTGGGTGGACTATTTCCTTCTTATCTGAAGCTATAAGGCTGCATTCAGGCTAAGAAGGTAATTTACGGAAGCTTCCTTCTTCATGACAATGTTGAGTCGGGATCTTGAGGGTCAATAGGTTCATAATTTATTTCCATAAAATCCATTATCTCAGGGCATAGTGGTTGCAGCACCTGCCGTTCATAAGTAATCCATGCCATCCACTCTAACTTCCCGGGCACAGGTTGCTCAGGGGCTTTACTACCCAGCATGGTGCCCTTAATCAATATCCTCAGAGACATCAATGGCTTTTGAACAATTACATGATGGCTCCTTAGCTTCCTTAACTACGGTGTCAGTCAGCTGCATTCCACTTCAATCATCATCACTCAGAACTCTCCCACTTCCAAAATCTTAAACATGCAAATTCCTTTTTCTGACCACAACTTCCTCACTTTGCCCTAACTTCACCCTTGAGCCTGCCCCAGACCATCTTCCCAGACTCATCCCCTGCTTTGAGCTCCTGCTCACACCTATGCCTGGCCAAGCTGAACTCCTGGTTACACTTGCGGGGCATTCCTTCATGACTCTGAATTTGCAAATGCTGTCACCTCATGAGAAGGTGTGTGAGGCTGGGTGTGGTGGCTCATGCCTGGAATCCCAGCACTTTGGGAGGCCAAGGTGAGAGGATTGTTTGAGGTCAGGAGTTTGAAACTAGCCTGGGCAATATAGTGAGACCCTATCTCTATAAAAAACAAAAAATTGGCCGGGTGCAGTGGCTCTTGCCTATAATCCCAGTAGTTTGGGAGGCCGAGGCAGGTGGATTACTGGAGGTCAGGAGTTCAAGACCAGCCTGGCCAACGTGGTGAAACCCTGTCTCTACTAAAAATACAAAATTAGCAGGGCATGGTGACATGTGCCTGTAATCCCAGCTACCCAGGAGGCTGAGGCAGGGGAATTGCTTGAACCCGGGAGGCACAGGTTGCAGTGAGCAGCGATAGTGCCATTGAACTCCAGCCTGGGCAAAAAGAGCAAAACTCTGTCTCAAAAAAAAAAAAAAAAAAAAAAAAAAAACTTATCCACATGTAGTGACATGTGCCTGTAGTCCAAGCTACTCAGGACCCCAAAGTGGGAAGACTGCTTGAGCCCAGGAGTTCACTGAGCTATGATTACGCCACTGCACTCCAGCCTGGGTGACAGAACAAGACCCAGTCTCTCTCGCTCTAAAAAACAAACAAACAAACAAACATATTGGATGACTCCCCGGTTATTCATTCCTTCTGCCTTGCAGAGCAAGCTTGTCCATCCCGCAGCCCAGGATGGCTTTGAATGCATTCCCACGCAAATTGGTAAACGTTCTTAAAACATTATGAGATCGTTTTGCAATATTTTTTTTTGGTTCATCAGCTGTTGTTAGTGTGAGTATATTTTATGTGTGGCCCAAGATAATTCTTCTTCTTCCAATGTGTCCCAGGGAGGTCAAATTATTGGACACACTTGTTGTAGAAATGTCTATTAAGTTGTATCATATACAATACAATTAACTTTTTTAGATTAAAAAATAGTCATATACTGGCAATTTTATATGGCTCAATTTCAACAGTGTTGTTATAACTATTTATTTTTTCTTATTCACTAGATTAGGCTACTTTCCTGTTAAAAGACAATAGATTTAATAAGAAGGCAAACCTAGGACCAAACCCAGCTCTACTCTAATAACTCAGTGATCTTAAGCAAGTTCCTTGACTTCCCCAAGATTTATAAAGTTCCTCATCTATAAATTGAGGATGATAATAATGTCTCCTGACAGAGTGTTGAAAGAATTAGAGGAAAATACCTGTGCAGTTCCCCAACTAGTAAACAATAGCTGCTGTGGACTAAATGGCTGTGTCCCCCCACAATTCATGCGTTGAATCCCTAATCCCTGATGTGATGGTATCTGGAGGTGAGTCTTTGTGAGTAATTAGGTCATAAGGGTAGAGACTTCATTATGGGATTAGGGCCCTTATAAGAAGAGACACAGACTATTTCTCTGCCATATGAGAATACAGTGAGAAGGCAGCCATCTGCAAGCTGGGAAGAGAGCCTTCACCAGAAGCCAACCACCAGGCACCCTGGTCTCAGACTTCCAGCCTCCAGAATCGTGAGAAATCAACAACTGTTGTCTAAGCCACCGGGTCCATGGTGTTCCAATACAGCAGTCCGAGTTGACCAAGACAGGCATCTTCACGTCGAAGGCAAAAATCAACATTTATTCATCTTTGTACTTCTATCACCCAGCTGAAGTGTTTATGGGGTTGTATTCAATTCCTTCTTATCATGACCTTGAATTCGTCAGCCTCTCCTTTTCTCCACCCCTCCCACTCTCTCAGTCAACAGCCAGCACCAAGGGGCAGCGATGTAAATGAGTGACTTTCAAAGTGGATGCCCCAGTTCCCACTTGAGCCTTCCAAGCTGGTACCACATGGAGCACAGGCGAGCTGTCACCTCTGAGCCCCACCCAAACTGTAGATTCATGAACAAACCAGCAATCATTATTGCCTTAAACCACTAAATGTAGGGGAAGTTTATTACACGCCAACAAATAATGGGATGCACAACATCAAACCCAAATCTACCCCACTGTCTAGCTTTTCTCTTAAGTCAGTAAGAGCCCCTTCTCTCTCCTTTATTTTTCTAGCTCCATTTCAAGAGTTTTTGCATGACATACTACAAGTCTATTGTTAGTAATCATAAAATTGTACTGTTTTTCCCATAACTAGGGTATATATTTGGCCTCTTTTTCCTTTAGGATTCTTTTCAAATATTCTACTCTTTTTAAGCAGCTATCGAAAAACTTTTTGATTCTTTGCCAGTGCCTTCTAGCAAATGGCTCTCAAACCCAGGAAAAGACTTAGTGTTCTATTATGATATATGTGTGGATCAATTAGCAGGTCTTAATTCATTTCATCACACAGGTAAAGAAGGCTAACCTAGGCCAAGTGTGGTGGCTCACGCCTGTAATCCCAGCACTTTGGGAGACTAAGGCAGGTGGGTCACTTGAGGTCGGGAGTTCAAGACCAGTCTGGCCAACATAGTGAAACTCCATCTCTACTAAAAATACAAAAATTAACCAGGCATGATGGTGTGTGCCTGTAATCCCAGCTACTCAGAGGCTGAGGCAGGAGAATTGCTTGAACCCAGGAGACGGAGGTTGCAGTGAGCCCAGATCACGCTACTGCACTCCTGCCTGAGTGACTCATCTCAAAATAAATAAATAAATAAATTTAAATTCAAAAACACTAATCTGGTCTTCCCTTTGGGTGTGTTTGTCATGTTAATCACCCATGGCCACTGAGTAAGCCTCTACATTTGGGAAAGGTCCATGTGATTCCATTCAGATAGACCTGTATAATCTGCTAATCCCATCCACTTGATTTGTTTGAGTGTGGCTCCAGTTAAGTATGCTAGAATGGAACATTTATTGTACCTATAACAGTTGGCTCCAAGTCCACGAAGAGTGCTCTAGGCACATGCTTCCCAGCTCTTGTCTCACAGAAGAAGGTATCGAAAGATGCATTTGTGTGCTCCATTTTTGCATTTTCCAGCTGATCCTGTTGAGTGTCAAGAACAACGCCATTTGGCTGGATTCCATGTTCCAGGCAATAGAGTTCCCAGCAGGCGTCCCCAATCTGGATGCCAGCTTGACCGATGTGGATGGAAAGGCACTCCCTCTAAAATAAGTCATGGTGAGTTGGAACTGAGCAGGTGTTTAGAAAACAGGAGATCTGTTACTCAGCCCTTCTGGTTACAAATGACAGAAACCAAGCTAGCTTAAGGCCACGGAGGAATGTGTTATAAGGATAATCAAAAGCGTTTCATGGAAACCAAGACCCAGGGTACAGCTAAGCTTCAGGGAAAATTAAACCTGGGATTTAAATTCCATTAAAAAGTTTATTTTAACAACATAAATTAAGCACCTACTCTGTACTTGGCTAAGAATTGAATTAAGACAAACACACACAATGCAAATCAAAATACAACTAATTTTACTTTATTCTTTCAATATAGGTGAGATGTGTGTGTGTGTGTGTGTGTGTGCGTGTAGTTATATATATCAAGTGGGCTTGTCTAGAAATAAAATTAGCTAGTTATTGGAAAGAAATAAAACTAAAATCAATATATAGCCTTGTCAAGTACTAAAACTCATCGCAGATAAATTTAAAATGTTATCTTTACCATTCATATGCACTCTGAATAAGGATGGATATACTAAACTTAAAACTAGTGGGAAATTTTACAAGGCAAAATGCAATAGATTTAACAGTTCCAAAATGTAAAAGTTTTATAACAAACATATAGAGATAAAAATTGATTTTATATACATCAACTTTCTAAAAAAAAACACTTAAGACATCCACTAGCTAGGCAAATGATATAAACAAACAAATTACAAAAGAAAGACTCTAAAATGCAAGGATGTAGGCTGATGGCATTCACAAGCATCACAATTCATAAGCATGAAAACCAAAAACCAATCTATTTAATCTAACCATTTATATATTGTTGAGCATTTAAAGGATGTTACATCAACACAATGACATGTTATGCAACCCTTAAACGTTTTCCCAAAAAAAAAAGATTTATGACATGGGAAATGCTTATGATAACATATTAAGTAAAAAGCACATAAGATGCATGATTGCATATAGAGTATGATGTCCAATATGTTCAAAAATAGGCATAAAAATCTAAAAGAAAATGCATCAAGATATTAAGTTTAGTAATATCTGGGTAGTGATTTTATTTTCTTGTCTAAACTTTACTATTTCTTCCACCTTCATATTCCCCCATCCCACTTTAAATCATCTTTTTTTTAAGGCAAACAACTATTCTGTTAAACAGACAATGATCTACGTTTTTAAGAGAAGGAAAGAAAAAAAATGAGAAGGAAAGTAAAAGCTAAATTCTAAGAAATCTGAGGTGATAGCAATCGCTGTTCTTAATATTGGTGTGGTTTGATTGACTGTGGTGCTGAAACAAATCTATTTAGAGGGTCTTGTAGAATGAGACCCCCATGTCTTCTGCATCATCAGGACCCTTTGGGCTGTTTGACCAGATAAGCTGAGGGGAGCCCTGCCCTTGTTCATGGCTACACTGCCCTAAAGCCTGAGATTCAACTACTGAAAGACCTCAGGCCTCCTGTCAATCCCTCACCTGTGGTCTACACAGGGGTCCCCAACCCCCGGGCCACAGACCAGTACCAGTCTGTGCCCTGTTAGGAACTGGGCTTTACAGAAGGAGGTGAGCAGCAGGTGAGTGAGCATTACTGACTGAGCTCTGCCTCCTGTCGGATCAGCGGCAGCATTAGATTCTCATAGGGGCACTAACCCTATTGTGAACTGCGCATGCAAGGGATCTAGGTTGTGTGCTCCTTATGAGAATCTAACTAATGCCTGACGATCTGAGGTGGAACAGTTTCATCCAGAAACCATCCCCACTGCCGACTCCATGGAAAAATTGTGTCCCACAAAACTGGTTCCTGGTGCCAAAAAGTTGAGGACCACTGGTCTACACAGACCACTAGTCAGAGGAAAGTAAGGAGAGGGCTCTGGTCGGCCACACCCCTGCAATCTGACTTGGACTCTGTTCATGCTCAATGGCATCAAACCTTTGTACTTTGTCTCTGTGATTCACAAGGCATAACAGCCCTCTGCTTCATGACCAATTCAAGTTCACTACCTTAGTAGGGCTTCCATCTTGTTTATTTTCTGTGCAACTATCAGTCTCTCTAATTTAGAAAGCACTTCATTTAGGACAAACTAATATTCCACCTCTCAAGACAGCATATTCTGTTATAAACAGGCTTCGAATACCCCTTATCAGGCTTCAGATAACCTTAATCTTATTCCTCTCCCCTTCTGTCGGACTTAAAGTGCTGCAAATACATCAGCTGCTGTAATCTGATCAAAACTTGGCTCCTTAAATTTAAGTTAACATTTTAAAAGGAGAGGGTGAACGTTCATTGTTTCTACATCATTAAAACCTCTTACTTTGTAAAGTTTACATGTAGATTTCTCTGTCTTCTCCACTGGCTACCACCCAGTCCTGTGTTACAGTGACGAGTAAAATTCAGGTGTACATGTGGTATTTGTTCATAATAGTCACAGTAAAAATAATCACTAACATTAAAAAAAAAAAAGATTGTTCCTCTTCACGTGGTCTGTTCAAGTGACTCAGAAAGCAGAGTGATGCTGTTCTTTTTGAAATCAGCACGAATAGCCTGGACTAACAAGCATCCTTCGTCTTTGAAGGAGCTTAGCTTATAACATAACTCTGTCCAAGGGTGTAGAAGACTATCTTTGCCTTATTCTTCTCTTAGCCTCTCCCTTTTTTTCCAAATTCTCTATGAAAATATTAGTCACACTATAAAGTAGAAGACTATAAAATGTCCACTGAACGTCAACACTGATAAGTCATAGCACATTATTAAACGCTGCTATAAGGATTATTTGAATTACTAGAAAAGCATAACTCTCAGTTAAACTTTCAATTTTGAGGTCTTTGTAGATTGATATGCAGCTGTGAGAAATAACATAGGAAGATCCCTTGCATCCGTTACCCATTTCCCGCAGTGGAAACATCTTGCAAGACCATAATACAAAATCACACCCAGAATGTTGACAGTGATAAGATACAGAACATGCTATTATCACAAGTCTCTCTCATGTTGAAAGGCATAATTTTTAAAAGCAAAACAATTTAAAATTTTTTAAATGTTGGACAGAGAGACCAATGGGGTGAGAAATCAAAGATCAAGAAGCAGTTCGAAATGTTGCTTCCATTGAAGAATTAAAAATTCAAAGATACTGAAAAACTGGCACAGAAAAAAATAAAGGGCAAATGGATCTGAAAAGGTCATCCCAAAACAGAATTATTGTAAGTTATTCTATTCATTGTGGTGCCCAAAGAACTAAACTCAAGGGAGGGCAAAGAAGATGTCTGCGCACTTTACCCTGCCAGGCATTTATGAGGTTAGCCACGGTTACCTAAGTCTGAAGTCCTCAGAAACTCTTAACAGCCTAACGAAAAGTGAAGCAATGAATATCTACAGAAAAATCAGCACTCTGGGCCTAAAACAAAGGTGAAAACTAAAGGAAGGAAAGGTTTTTGCTTCAGTGCTTCAATTAATGGCAGTGAGCTACTGCAAATCAACTGAGCTTTACCTTGAAAGAAGCAACATTACAGAGGAATAGATTACAGCCTGTCCACATCTGCTCCCAACTCATCTACTTGGACATTGAAAGAAACAAATGTTTCTTTACAAATGTCTTCTCTTGCATTACAATTTTATTAAGAATTGTTTGCTGTGGGAAAAGGGCCAAATATGATTAGTAAAATTTCCTACAACAATGCATAGGCGTGTAGTCACTTACCATGCTGATGAGAACGTGCCCTTCCTGCCCTGTAGTAATGACTGAGGAGCCTCCCAGCTGAGCTTTATCACAGGGCCCGGAAATGACTCCACCTGAGGGCTGGAGCTTTCTTCACTTAAAGCAGTATAGCTTCTTTTTAGTTTTTTTAGTTATCTGGTCTCAGAGTAGCTGTGTTGGGCCTGAACAACCCGGGATAAAGTTTGTACACAGCTGCAGATGAACTACTGAGAGCTTATCCAAATCTGCGTCCAACTTATAACTATGTTGAAAAGAACATGTGTCTTTTAAAAATCACCCTTTTGGGTTAAGAATTTATTTAGCATTGGCAGAGAAAAGGAAGGAGTATGAGTAAAATTTTCTGCAACAGCAAAGTAGCTTTTTCTATTGCATGAGTACTATGTGAATATCTTCTTAAATAAATTTAAACAATCCCTGAATACATACAGCAAACCAAGACAGTGTCCTTTTTACATCTGTGTCCTATGCATGCCTCTCAACCACTACCACATCCAAACATATGGGAATTTTCTGTTTTTATTATTATTGTCTTTTGAACTTTTATATTATTATACATAATATATACTTATGTTATTATTTTTTATTAATTGCACTAAGATCAGATCACACATCTTAACTGAGTTCTCTCCTTATATATTTGCTAAAGCTTCCTTTATATTCTACTATATGGTCAATTTTTGAAAATATTCCATGAGTGTTGAAAAGAATGTGCATTCTACATTTGTTGGATGCAATATTTTAGATAGACCGATCATTCAATCAATCAATCTATTAAATCAAATGGATTTATTGTGTAGTCCAAATTTTACGTATCAATTATTTCAAAAGATGTATTAAAAGTTTTCATTATAATTGTGAATTTACCCATTATTTCTTTTTCTGTCAATTTTTCCTTTATACATTTTGAGGCCATGTTATGAAGAGCACATAAATTTTAAATTATTATATTTTCAAAAACTTTAACAATTTTTTATTTTTAAATTACCCTCCTTATATACATTAATTATTTTTACCTTAAAGTTTTTTTTTTTTTTTTTTTGAGATGCAGTCTTGCTCTGTCGTCCAGGTTGGAGTGCAATGGTGCGATCTCAACTCACTGCAACCTCCACCTCCCAGGTTCAAGCGATTCTTCTGCCTCAGCCTCTCAAGTAGCTGGGATTACAGGTGTGTGCCACTATTCCTAGCTAATTTTTTTGTATTTTTGATAGAGACAGGGTTTCACCATGTTGGCCAGGCTGGTCTTGATCTCCTGACCTCGTGATCTGCCCGCCTTGGCCTACCTTAAAGTTTTTATGATCAAATATTAATATTACTACTTTAATACAGTTTTTTGGTTCACATTTGAATGATGTATTTTCCCATCGTTTTACATTCTTAGAAACTTAAAACCTTTCCATATTCTCATATTTTGGATGTGTTCTTTGTATGCATGATATAACTGAATTTTTTTTCTATTTTTGTATTTGAATTGGAGAATTCAGCTCATTACATTTAATATAATAACTAATATAGTTGGGTTTAGATATAGAGTACTATTTTATTTTGTGCTTTCTGTTTGTCTCCATTTTCTAAGTTCTCTTTTCTTCCTGATCTTCTTTTGAATTAATGACATGTTTTGTTAGCATAGTAACAATTTTATTATTCAGTAATCAAAACAAAATTTCTGTTACTCAAGAATCTTGGTTTCTACCAATTCTTCCTTACAACTTTGAGAAAATGAAGAAACCATAGTGTTCTTCAGCAATTTTCTCCTGAACTTATTATAAATTATACTTTCTCTCATTTTGATCTTCATAAAGTCAATCCTATCTGTCTCTGTCAATAACTCCCCAAATGTTTAGCATCCTGGTAGTTCCATATAATGAAAAGAAAAATTAAGCCAGTTCCATTTTATAAAATCAGAATGATATTTATTTTGTTGCTGTATCAAATTTTCTCCCACTGGTCCCAGATATTTTCAGTTTGAAACAAGATGAGGGAAAAATCAGATAATGTGAGTATCTCATTTCTAGTCCACTGATGTACTCAGTATCTTTCATTAACTTTTAAAAATTGTCAGTCTGACATGGAGCTATGATTAACTTAGATTTACGTAGGAATTAGAAAGAAACTAGAAAAATCTCTTTTGTAGTATAATTTAAGAAATGCATCTTATCTTTTAGTAATTCCTTATTTCTTTGAAAGACTAAGTCTTAAAGAAAAAAGTTTCCTCAAGTGATAATAATTGGAATTTCACGTCTGAAGAGGCCTTCTGGGGTGATAGTTTTTGTGTCAACTTGGCTAGGCTGTGGCACCCAGTTATCCAATCTAACACTAGTCTGGGTATTGCTGTGCAGGCATTGTGGAGGTGTGGTGAACATCTCCAGTAAACTTTGACTTTAAGTAAAGGACATCATCCTCAATAATGTGAGTGGGCCTCATCCAATCAGTTGAAAGACCATAAGAGTAAAATGGAGATTTCTCTGAGGAAGAAATTTCTCCTAAGGATGGCACCTTTAGTTTCAGCTTTAGCTGTTACTCAGGAGTTTCCAGCCTGCCAGTCTGCCAGCCTGCCCTACTGATTCCAGACTTTACAGCCCCACAATCACACTAACTTATTCCTTAAAATAAATCACACACACAATACTGACTCTGACATACTTGGTGGCCACCCTTAGGTTCTGAGGGTGAAAAAATGGCAGAGTGATAAAAGTGTGGTATTTATAGTTACGATGTCCTTGTTCAAAGTTCCTTTCTTGGCCAGGCACAGTGGCTCATGCCTGTAATCGCAGCACTTTGGGAGGCCAAGGTGGGCAGATCACCTGAGGTCAGGAGTTCAAGACCAGCCTGGCCAATGTGGTGAAACCCCATCTCTACTAAAAATACAAAAAATTAGCCGGGTGTGGTGGCAGGCACCTGTAATACCAGCTACTCTGGAGGCTGAAGCAGGAGAATCACTTGAACCCTGGAGGCGGAGGTTACAGTGAACCAAGGTCACGCCATTGCACTCCAGCCTGGGCAACAAGAGCAAAACTCCATCTCAAAAAAAAAAAAAAGTTCCTTTCTTAAGTATTTTTCATTGTGAGCCAGTCAATTCACTGGCCAAGTAATGAGACAAACAAAACCTTCTAAGCATGAAAATTTGTTACAAAAAAAAAAAATTATTCAACTCTGAGCAATAATTCTGATTGACATTCTGACATTTCTGAAGTTCTCTTTGGTAATTCTCTGTTGGCAGCCTCACAACCACAGCCAGATCACTGTCCTTTGCCATTCTCTCTGGCCCCTACCATTGCACTGAAACCCCTTTCTCCTTCCTCCTCTGTTCTCCTCTCCTACTACTAATATAAATCAGTCTTTTAGACCTGCAATGTCTTTAGGAAGATAGTCTAAGCGTTAAGAAAAATGAATTACAGTCTACTTTGGATTAATAGCACCTTCTCTGGCCACACATATTTCATCTCAAATTTTATTGTTCTCTAAGCTCAACAGCTAGATTTTGGAGTTTTCCATTTTCCTCATTGGAATACCTAAGAGTAAACCAATATGGTAAACAAATGATTCATAGATGATTGATTGATTGATTGACTGATTGAGGCAAAAAATGAAACAACCTCCCCCCACATCACACATACACACACAGTGATAGATTTTAAGGGATGACAAACCTGATTTCAAATATTCTGCCCTATTGTGCCTATAAGTACACTTCTGCTTGTCAGAATGACAATCAATGCAGTCCACATACTTAGCTGTTGGACTACACTCCCTTTCATTTGGCAGGAACAATTAAGTTTGACCCAATTAAAAATTACAGTCTAATAAACAGTTTTGTAAATTAATCAATAGTAGATATAGTAAATATATTTTTAAAAATTTCAGACTTTATTATAACATTCTATATATAAATTATATGTATATGCACACATACAGACATTCATTCTCCTGAATGTAATTGCTGTTAGTTCATGAGAAGCTATGAGAAGATTCAGACAAAAAAGAAAAACGTTGATGCAAAGGGCAATTCTCTAGTTATTAAGACTACTAGTTTTCTAATGGTAGGTCATTGTTTGCAAATTTGCTACATTTTTCTATGGGAGCCTACAGACCAAAGGGGAATCATTTAGCTAGTGATAGCAATGGCAAACAAAATATCACATCAAAATCATCAAATAATTTGGAAATTAATAAAGTGTTTTGATGAACACTTTGTACTCTAATATATACATATATATATATATATATATATAAAACTTGGTAAGCAGTTTTGCAAAAATAGTTTGATTTACTTAGATAATGAAAGAAAATAGGTTTTTAAATTATTGATTTACATAATAATTTACATTCATTTATTGATTGTTGAATTTATTTAATATCAACTTGCAAAATGATTGGTGTCATCACATAGGGCTGAAGGTTTTGGAAATAATCTTTGAGGAAGTTCCCCAAAAGAATATTTGTTTTGCAAATCCATGGTTGAAAAAGTTTGGGTTACACTTTGCTCTAGTCAAGTTAGTAGGAATATCTTCTCAGAGAGGGAGTTCTAGAGTCTGATTTTATATATATGAAAGCTGAAATCAAAACAATTTCCTCAAACCCTATCCCGGTGAATATTTTAAGGGAGAAGGATGATTTGTGGGGAACTGAAAGAGAGAGGATTCAGAGAACATTTGTCATGGTTTTGGGACTGTTCTATACAGTGTAAGACATAGAACATGGGGACAATGGCATTCAGACACCAGAAAGTTGATCTCTTGTAAGATCAAGAGATGTCACCAGCCTTTCCCAGGTCTTCAATGACCAACCCTCAGAGCGGTCACTTTTCTTTGCTCTTCTTCTATGGTACCCAGCCATTTTCTGATGAAAATTTGTCTTCTATTCCTTATTTCCCTAATGTCTAGCACAGATCCTGGCATATTATAGCAGGAATTTAATAAATTCTTGTGAATAATTGAACAAAATCATAAGTTCTCAAGTGAATGAAAATTGGAAACAGTTGCTCTGCATAAAACAATAGTATTCAGGTCACTGGAAAGAAGTGCCCACCCCCACCACTGGAATCCCCACATTGACATCCTGCAGTATCTATCATTTTGTGAGTAGTTATTACAAGTTACCAAAGGACTGACCACCTCTGATGACACAATCAAAACCAGTTTCAGGACCTGCAAAGCTGAGGACAGACCCTGAATTCTGAGGATCTCACCGAAGTATGTTGAAACTATTAATATGAAACGGCTGTTTCTGTGGGTAAAAAGACCAAGCGTCAGCGATTCACATGGTCCTATCTTGTGAACAAAAGTTCTCTGAAAAGGAAGTTTGGAGAAAGGAGACTTTATTCTAGTGAACAGTTTGCAAACCAGGGAGACACAGCCTTCGGAGTAAAAGAAAGGTGATTCCAGAGAATAAAGGGGAGGGTTTGGCTTCTATAGAAAAAGTTCTTGTCCAGGTTTCCAATCAGATGTGTTTATGCAAAGGAAAGATTCAGACTTGCTCAGTTCAGATTGGGTAATACAGCTGAACCCTGATTGGATAAAGCAGATGAGTTCTGATCGGTTACATCAGGTGAGCCCTGATTGGTCAATTCGGGTAAATTGTGAAAATCCCAAAGGGGTGTGAGTTTTCTGGACACAGAGTAGTTGTGACCTACTTGGGACCTGACTTGAAGAATTGCTCTTACAGGTTTATTTTTGTTCATAATCTAAACATCTGCATCCTCTGAAGCTCTGTCTTGGTGGAGACCAACTCCCCAAATATTAAGAACATTTCTGTATTCTTACACTCTAACTGCTACAAAGCAGTACTTTCTTCTTTAATTTTTGGGGAGGGATGGGGAAGGTAGAACAGAAGTGGTTCTTGACCAAGGTCAACTTATGTTCAGAGCTGGTTCCTTCCGGTGGGTTCATGGTCTCGCTGACTTCAAGAATGAAGCCATGGACCTTCATGGTGAGTGTTACAGCTCTTAAAGGTGGCACAGACCTAAAGAGTGAGCAGCAGCAAGATTTATTGTAAAGAGTGAAAGAACTAAAGCTTCCACAGTGTGGAAGGGGACCCCAGTGGGTTGCCCTGCTGGCTGGGGTGGCCAGGTTTTATTCCCTTATATGTGCCCTCCCATGTTCCATTTTTGTCCTATCAGAGTGCCCTTTTTTCAATCCTCCCTGTGATTGGCTACTTTTAGGGTCCTGCTGATTGGTGCTTTTTACAGAGCACTGATTGGTGCATTTTACAATCCTCTTGCTAGCTACAGAGCACTGATTGGTGTGTTTTACAATCCTCTTGCCAGACAGAAAAGTTCTCCAAGTCCCCACTCTACCCAGGAAGTCTAGCTGGCTTCACATCTCAATGTTACTCCCTAATTTCTTACTCTTTTTAAAACAAAAACATTTTTCCCTCATGTTATAAAGGTACTGCAAATTCAATATGTCCTTATTTTTAAAAAAATTAAATGCAAAAAATAAAAATAAAAATTTTGAATACCTAAAGTCTACCTAGAGACATTTTAATACATTGACTTTTTAATACATTTAATACATTTTAATACATTATCTTTTTTCTTTGTATAATCTCTTGTAATTCATAACTTTGAATATACTGAATATACCTCTATACTTCATGTTTTTATTTCAAATTACCAGTATACTATTACATACTTCACACTTCATTTTTGTTGGCTGAAAATATTCTTCTCAGTGGATGAGCTATAAATCATTGTTTATTTAGGTTGTTTTAAATGTTTCTATTATAAACAATGTCATTAATAGCTTCATGTTTATATAATTTTATTTTTTAGGATAAATTTCCATAAGTGGAAATATACTGGCAAAAGAGAAGTGTTTTTTTGTTTTTTTTTTTTTGGAGACGGAGTCTCGCTCTGTCACTGGGCTGGAGTGCAGTGGCACGGTCTTGGCTCAATTCAAGCTCCGACTCTCTGGTTCAACTAATTCTCCTGCCTCAGCCTCCTGAGTAGCTGGGATTACAGGCATGCGCCACTCTGCCCAGCTAAGTTTTGTATTTTAGTAGCGACAGGGTTTCACCATGTTGGCCAGGATGGTCTTGATCTCCTGATCTCGTGATCCGCCTGCCTCAGCCTCCCAAAGTGCTGGGATTACAGGCGTGAGCCACAGCGCCCGGTCAGGAGAAGCTATTTTTAAAGACTTTGACACATATAAAGCAATATTTAAAATCAAAGAAAGTGTAATTTGTTTAACAATTTTTTTTTTACTTGAAGCGGTCTTTTATTTTATATTATGTCTTTTGCTGACTTTTACAAGCAAAGGATGAAGTCACTTCATTCTGTTTTGCTAGGGAGAGACTGTGTCATGCTTATTGGAAGACATAAGGGCTCATAATTAGATTTTGCTGGTTCCCTAGAGACAGTCCCGGGAACACACTTGCATAACCTTTGGTAATTGGAAATATATCTCATATTGGCCACGTGCACAATAATTCAGTGTGAATATGGCCAATAAACATGCCTTGTTTACAGGTCATTAGTTTGGACCTCTCTTCTCCTCAAATGCTAAGAAAGATCTGGTGAATTAAAATGCTTCCAGTCCATTTGCCTTGGCCTGTAGTGAAAGTCCTAATGAACAATGAAGGAGGTACCGGGCCTTAGGGACTCAGGGATGCGCTCAGGAGTTAAGGGCAAATTTTCCTAGGTTCTTTCCTAGGCAAGTAGATCCCGGGAGCGGTGGAGGGGCGGGACTCCACGTCTCCTAGGAACCGCTGCGCGCTCACTGATTGGCTGATCGCTGCTCAGCCGCCATTTTCAAATCCCCGGATGACGGCGGTGGCGGCTGCAGTCCGCTGACAGGCGCTTTCTGCCTGGCAGAGGCTGGCGGGCATCGTGCCCGTCCCTGCCGGTCTCCCGGGCACCCGGCCACCGCCCCACCCCCTCCTCCGTGCCATGGAGCCCGAGCTGGCGGCTCAGAAGCAGCCTCGACCGCGGAGGCGAAGCCGCCGGGCCTCTGGGCTCAGCACGGAGGGAGCGACGGGGCCTTCGGCCGACACCTCCGGGTCGGAGCTGGACGGGAGGTGAGTGTGGGGGAGGGGAGGGCCGAACGGGAGGTGAGTGTAGGGGAGCGGAGGGCCGAACGGGAGGTGAGTGTTGGAGAGGCAAGGGCCGGGGGGAGGGGAGGGCTGGCCGGGAGTTGGATGTGGGGGGCGGCGAGTGGGGGTGTTGGTGAGGGCCAGGGGGAGGCGAGGGCCGCTGGGAGGTGAGTGGGGGGTGGGGGAGGTGACCGCGGGGTTGGGGGGGGGGACGGGGGCCGCTGGAAGTGAGGGTGGCACAGGCTGGAGTGACAGTGTGCCTGGCCTTGGACCGAGGTCGGTCCTGAGACCCCAAACTGCGATTTTCCCTGCCTGTGGCAAAGGGGCGGGTTTATTGAGTCTCCTCGCCTCCTGACTGTTTCTCAGGGGAGACTTAGGAAAAACCACAATGGTTTTGTTCTGCACACCCAACTGGCTGTAGGCTGGCGTTCCCAAATGCCTTTGCTCAGACCGAAACTGTCATGGTGAGCACCACGAGAATGGGCTTCCATGTCCTGAGAAAGAAAAGACTAAGGGATAAGTTGACTTCGGGATATGTTATGAGATGCCTATTAGAGAGTTCATCACAACCATTTTCGTGTTTTTTCTTTTTACTTTTTGTGGAAGTATACATTGAAATGAGAGTGTATGACTCGTGTTTGGCTCAGTGAAATTTCACAAAGCGAAGCTCAGGGGATAGCTAGTGAATTAGGAGGAAGGGAACCAAGTGAGAACAGTATCCAGGAGGCCAAATGAAGAAAGAATTTCAAGAAGAGGACGTGGCGAGCTATGTCAGATGTTATTGATAGGTCAAATAAAATGAGGATTAAGTAAAATAAGATGAGGATTAAGCTAGATGAGGAATGAAAATTAAATTTGGTAATGAGAAGAGAGTATTGATCTTAGATGGTTTCCAAGAATGGTTACAATATCGAACTTAGAGTGTTTTGCAACAGGTTGAGAAGAGAATGTGCGATTTGTTCAGAAAATAATGTGAGTGCCAACACTAGGAATATGGAAATGGAAAAATACTCTTGTTACTATTTAAGATTTATAATCTAGTGGGGAAGAAAGATAAGTAGGTTAATAATTATTATAATATGTGATAAAAGTTATTATAGTGATATACACAGAATGCCGTAGATTAAAAGGAACACTTAATCCTGACTGGAGAGAATAGGAAATGATTTCCTATTGTAATCCCTGAGTCTTTAAGGACCAGTTTAGAGAGCAGATGTAAATGGATGATTTCAGGCAGAGAAGCATGTAGAAAGGCCCTGAAGCAAATGAGTCTGATGAGTTCTGGGTATATATTCTATTTTATTACTATATTAACAGTGATATTTGTATAGAGGAGAGGAAACCAATATGGGGAGAAGGAGGAGGTAGTCATGAGAGATGATGCTAAAGAGGTAAGCGCCACATCATGAAGAGACCTTGTATGCCTTGACAGAGTTTGGGTTTTATCTTCATGGTAATGGGGAAATACTGAAAGACTTTAAATGAGCCAATGGCATGACATATTTGCATTTTAAAAGATCAGTTTGCCTTCCATGAGAAAAATAAGCAACATTTTGGAGTCATCTCACTCTTCATATTTTATGAAAACTATTCCCCAAAAATGTGCACATATACATAAACATTTCAGGAGATTTGTGGACCCAGCTGTGTATACCAAATTAAAATTTCCAAGTTTAGCTGATGGATTGGTAGGAAATCAGTCTGCAGTAGTCTAAATGAAAAAATGATTGTTCGAATCTGATAGCTGGCAATGGGATTGGTGAAGAGAAGTTTCACTGCAACAGGAAGACAAGAAAGAATAGAGAGAAATAACACAATTTTGTGGGATAGACTCTTAAGAAAGAATAAATTCCCTTGATGTGCTGTGCTGAGTTAACAAATAGAGGGAGAGGTTGAACAGACAGTAGAGGAGAAAAATGGTTGAACAAGGATCCAAGAAGGCAGAAAAGGACAGAATCCAAATTCAAGGTAGAGGATTTAGCCTAACAAGAAGCTATGGATGATATATAGTTTTGAAGAATGGGGTGTGTTGTGAGCAGGAATTTGAGGACTTTCCCACCAGGCCTCTATTTTTTGTGTGAGGTAGGAAATGATACATTGTGAGAAAAGCGTAGTAACACAGGCAGCATGAGGAGAGTGAGACACAGTTAGAAGAACCATGGAGAGAAAATGGAGAATTAAATAACATATTCCTTTTCCAGAAAAGATGTAAGATCATCTACAAGAATACGTAAAATATTACAAGATAGTATTAATTGTGAGGCAAGAAGCAACTAAGCACTGTATCAGATTCAGAAATCATAAGGAAAAAGATTTGTGTGTATGATTATGTGACTATTGAAAAACGTTCTGCAGGCAAAACTCAGTATAAACTAATTTGAAAGACAAATACGTACAGTACAATTTACCCACTTAAATTGTACTACTTAGAACATTTTCATCACCTCAAAAAGAGCATTTGTACCCTTTAGCTATTGTTCCTCTCCTACCCCTTCTGCCCTAAAACCTAATCTGTCGGTCTGTAGGAATTTCTCTGTTCTGGACATTGCATATGAATGGATTTATGTAATGTGTGTGGCCATTTTTGGTGGGCCATCCTTTGCTCTTTTTTTTTTTTCTTTTGAGACGGAGTCTCAGTCTGTCACCGGGGCTGGAGTACAGTGGCATGATCTCGGCTCACTGCAACCTCCGCCTCCCGGGTTCAAGTGATTCTCCTGCCTCAGCCTACCAAGTAGCTGGAACTACAGGCATGTGTCACCACGTGTGGCTAATTTTTTGTATTTTTAGTAAAGACAGGGTTTCACCATGTTGGCTAGGCTGGTCTTGAACTCCTGACCTTGTGATTTGCCTGCCTCGGCCTCCCAAAGTGCTGGGATTACAGGCGTGAGCCACCGCACCTGGCCCTGTTCATTTTTAAATTTCTTTTTTATTGAGTTGTTAAGAGTTCTTTATTCTGGATACAAGTCCCTTATCAGATAGATTATTTGCAAATATTTTCTCTTATTCTGTGGTTTGTCTTTTCACTTTCATGATGTGCTTCGAAGCACAAAAATGTTTTAGTTTGTAGTCCTACTTGTCTATTTTTGCTTTTGTTGCCTGTGTTTTGGTGTCACATCCAAGAAATCACTGCTAAATCCATTGTTATGAATCCTTTCCCCAGTGCTTTCTTCTGAGAATTTTATCATTTTAGCTTTTATATTTGGGTCTTTAATCCATTTTGAGTTAGTTTTTGTATATAATGTGAGATGACGGTCCAACTTAATTCTTTTTCATGTGTCTATCCAGGTACCCCAGCACCATTTTTTGAAGACTGTTCTTTCTCCCACTGAGTAGTCTTAGCACCCTTGTCAAAAATCAGTTGACCTTAAGCATGAGAGTTTATTTTTAGACTTTGACTTTTATTCTCTTGATCTATATGTAATAGCCCTATGCCATTACCATGGTGTTTTGATTACCGTTGCTTTGTATAGTAAGTTTTGAAATTGGGATATGTGAGTCCTCCTACTTTGTTCTTTTTTTCCCAAGATTGTTGTGGCTATCCTGGGTCTCCTGCAATTCTATGTGAATTTTAGAATCAGCTTAATCGATTTTTACAAAGGAGTCCACAGGGATTCTGATAGAGATTGCATTAAATCTTGTAGATCATTTTCAGGAGTATTGCCCTCTACAGAGAGTTAAGTAGTCTGATCCATGGACAAGGGATGTTTTTCCAATTATTTAGATCTTTAATTATTTTCAACAGTGTTTTGTAGTTTTCAGAGTATAGTTCTGCATGTTTTGCTAAATTTATTCCTAAGTATTTTGTTCTTTTTGATGCAGTTGTAAATGGATTCATTTCTTTTGAAATGGGAAAAGTTCCCTTTTCCCCCTCGCAGGGCGTGCACTGGAGGTGTGCTCGCTTCTTCGGTGCCCTGCTGTTCAAACCTCTAGGGGAACATATAGATAGGCAGGCTGTGGGGCTCCAACCCCATAGCCATGTCTATGGGTGAATGTTTACAGCTGAAGCCTCAGTGGGCTTGTGTTACAGGGTACTCTTAGTTTAGCCATCCGTAGGCGGCTTGTATTCATCAGCTCAGTTAGACCCCTGCCTTATTTCAAGGACAGGGGGCCTTCTGTATCCCAGGGTTCTTGCCTTGATGTACTGGAACAATCAGATGACACGTTGGCTTGGATAATGATTGCAAGCTTTTATAGAGTGGAAGTAGCTCTCAGCAGATGGGGGAGCCAGAAGGGAAATGGTTTTGCCCTGGTGTCAGGTTGCCCGATTCTCCTCCAACCTCCCTGGCCAAGCTCTGCGTCATTCTGCGAATCGATGGCCTGCCAGCTGGCCTGCCAGCGTGCTGGTGTACTCCCACGTCGATGTGTTCCTCTTGACATCCAGCCACCTGTGTGTCTGCCTGCTAGGGTCTCGGGGGGTTTTTATAGGCACAGGTGGGGGCGTGCTTTTATAGGCACAGGATGGGGGTGTGGTGAGCCAGGGTGGTCTTGGGAAATGCAACATTTGGGTAGGAAAACAGAAATGCCTATCCTCACTTAGGTCCGTGGGCCCAGGCCTGGGGATGGAGCCCTAGCAAGGGACCACGCTCTCCTCTACGCAGCACTTCCCTGCCCCGCTTTGTATCACTTTATTTTCAGTTTAATAATTTCAATTGTATAGGAATACATACAATTGATTTTTGTATATCGATCTTGGATCCTGCTACCTTGCTGAGCTCATTAGTTCTAATAGTTTTTTAGTGGTTTCTTTAGGACTTTCTGTGTACAGGGTCATGTCATCAGCAAATAAAAATAGTTTTACTTCTTTTTCCAATCTCTGGATGCCCTTTACTTTTTTCTCTTTCCTAATTGCCCTGGGTAGGGCCTCCTGTACAACGCTGAACAGAAGTGGAGAGACGGGAAATTCTTGTCTTGTTTCTGATCTTAAGGGGAAAGCATACAATCTTTCACCATTAAGTATGATGTTAGTTGTAAGCTTTGTAGATGTCCTTTATCAGGTTGAGGAAGTTCCATTCTGTTACTAGTTTTTGAGTGGTTTTTATCATGAAAGGTTTTAGGGTTTTTTTTCTTTTGTCTATTGAAATGATCATGTGGTTGTTGTTATTACTGATGTGTTACATTAATTGATTTTTTGGGATGTTAAACCAACTTTGCCTTCCTGGTATAAGTCCTGCTTGGTCATTGTGTATAGCTTTTTTAAATATATTGTTGGATCCATTTTGTTAATATTTTGTTGAATATTTTTGTATATATATTCATAAGATATTGATCTGTAGTTTTATTATCTTGTACTATGCTTGTCTGGTTTTGGTATTGGGATAATACTGGCCTCATAAAATCAGTTAAGAAGTATTCCCTACTGTTTTGTTTTTTTTGAAAGAGTTTGTGAAGAATTGGTATTCTTTCAATGTTTGGTAGAATTCAGTGTAAAGCCACCTAGGCCTAGACTTTTCTCTGTGGATAGTTTATTATTATTATTAATTCAATCTCATCTCTTGTTGTAGGTGTCTTCTGATAGTTTGTTTCTTATTAAGTCAGTTTCAGTAGGTTGTATCTCTTTAGGAATTTGTTTCATCAAAGTTATCTAATTTGTTGGTGTACCCTTCCTTGTTCATAGTATTTCTTTATAATCCTTTTCATGTAATGTCAATAGTAATGTCCCCTCTTTTATTTCTGATTCTTGTAATTTGTGTCTTCTTTCTTTTTATGATGATGGTCAATCTAGCTACAGTCTTGTCAATCTTGATCTTTCCAAAGAATGTGATTTTAGCTTCATTAATTTTCTTTGTTCTTCTATTCTTTGTTTTATTTTCACTTTAATCCTTATTGTTTCCTTCTTCCTGCTTAGTAATCTGAGTAATCTGCTCAGATTAGTCTGCATGCTTTAGGTTTAGTTGGCCCTTTTTGTTTCCAGTGTCATGATTATAGATTAAGTTACTGATTTGAGATCTTTTTCTTAATATAGGGATACAGCTATAAATTTCCCTCTGAGCATTGCTTTAGCTGCATCTCATAAATTTTGATATATTGTGTCTTCACTATCATTAATCTCAAATTCTGATTTCTTTTTGACTTCTTTGAGCCATTAGTTATTTAGGAATGAATTGTTTAATTTCCACATAATTGTGACTTTCACAAATTTTTTCTAATTTCATTACATTGCAGCTGGAAAATACACTTTGTATTATGTATTATTTCTATCCTTTTACATTTATTGAGATTGTGCTGTTTTTATATGCACATATGTTTGTAATTGTATCTTCCTGATGGATCAATCTGTTTATCACTATAAAATATCCCTCTTTGGTAACATTTTTTTCTTTGAAAGGCCATTTTGTTTGATGTTAATATAGCTACTCTAGCTTTCTTGTGGCTTGCTGTTTGCATGATACGTGTTTATCCCTTTATTTTCAAGCTGTTTATATCTGTGAAACTAAAGTGTGTCTCCTGTGGACAGCATATAGTTGGATCTTGGTTGGTTGGTTGGTTGGTTGGTTGGTTGGTTGGTTGGTTTTGATCCTGTCTGGCTGTCCATTTCTTTTGATTGGGTTGTTTACTCCAATCACATTTAACGTTATTTATTGATATAGTTGGATTTATGTCTGCCATTTTGTCGTGTTATATATGTCTTTTGTTTCTCTATTCCTCCTTTATTGCTTTCTTTTGCATTAAGTGAGAATTTTCTAATTTATAGCATTTGAATTTCTTTACTGATTTTTTTCATTGACACTGCTTTTACTAGGCTTTTTTGGGTTTTGTATGTGAACTCAGATTACCGTCTGTGGTCACTGGCTTTCAGCCAGAAATTCTTATGGTATTTCTTGTAAGGCAAGTCCGCTACCAACAAATTCTCTGTTTGTTTTTTTTCTTTGTTTTGTTGTTGTTGTTGTTGTTGTTGTTGTTTTTATGGGAATGTCTTTGTTTCTCCTTCATTCTCGAAAGATAATTTTGATAGTATAGGATTCTTTGCTGAAATTTTCTTTTTCTTTGAGCACTTTGAATGTGTTATCACACTGCTTCTGTCTTCCATTGTTTCTGTTAAGAAGTCAGAATCTTTTTGGGGTTCCTTGTAAATAACAAGTGTTTTTTTCTCTTGCTGCTTTTAAGATTTTCTTATCTTTAACTTTTGCCATTTTTACTATGATGTGTCTGTCTGTGGATATCTTTGTGTTATCTTACTTGAAGTTTATTGAGCTTTTTCTGAATGTGTAGGTGGTTGTTTTTCAATAAATTTGGAGAAGCTTCAGCCATTGTTTCTCTGAAGTTTTTTTCTGCTCTTTTCTCTTTTCCTCTCTTTCTGATATTCCCATTATGTGTATTTGAAGGGAAATATAGCAAATAAAACAAAATTTTAATGCAAATATTTAAACCAAGCAGTTCTACCCACAGAAATTTATCTTAAAGTAATGGGCAAGTATACATGGATGTATGTACAAGAAAGTATATCCTAGCACATTTGTGTAGTAGAAAGGTTAGAAAAAACAGGAGGAGGAAGCTAAATACATTATGATATTCTGTACAGTGAGATATTATAATATACAATTTTTATAACTCAGGTGGAATATATTTGGTATGTTGTATAAGATGTATTTGGGATTTTAGGTTGTTTGTTGATACATCTCCTCTATACACCTGTGCAAGTTTCTCTGGGGCAGCAGTTATGTTTTCTATGTAGATATTCCCTACAATATGACAGGCCTCTTAACGTCTTTCTCCTCACCTCCCAGTTCTGGGTAGTAGGCAAAGGTCTTTCTTTTTTATTTTATTTTTTTATTTATTTTTGAGATGGAGTCTTGCTCTGTCGCCAGGCTGGAGTGCAGTGGCGCGATCTCGGCTCACTGTAGCCTCCGACTCCCTGGTTCAAGTGATCCTCCTTCCTCAGCCTCCCGAGTAACTGGGATTACAGGCAAGCGCCACCACGCCCAGCTAATTTTTGTATTTTTAGTAGAGACGGGGTTTCACCATGTTGGCCAGGATGGTTTTGATCTCCTGACCTCGTGAACCGCCCACCTTGACCTCCCAAAGTGCTGGGATTACAAGTATGAGTCACTGTGCCCGGCCAGCAAGGGTCTTTCTAAAGAACCCTAGGTTATACTACATGATTGAGAGCTCAGAACGAGGACTGCTTTTCTGGCCTAGTTTTTTTGATACCAAGTCTGTTCTGGCCTCAGCTTTGATTTACCTAATTATTTTCTGTCTTCTCCTTTGAGAATGTATATTCTTTTAACATTCTTTTAGACTAGAACCCATAGACAAAGAGTAACGTTTAAAGATTTTAGGCATTAAAAGCAGTCAGACTTCCTAGGTTCAAATTCTGGCTCTTAAGGACCTTGGGCAAGTTACTTAGTCTCTAAATCTCACTTCATAGTACCTATGTCTAAGGTCCTGAAAATTGGACACAAGTAATGTTTAAATAATTTTATTTCTGTCTTTCGGGGCCTTAGGGAAAGCCATAGAACTTTACATATCACCCATATGGCAGAAATATAAATACATACTGATCCTTTTAAGGATTTTATATTTTCCTTTTTTGCAGATTTGAAATAATGCTGTCCATTGGTAGAAAAATAATAGTATGACCTATGATCTACCAACAGTGATAAGGCTTACTCTTTGAATTTTGTTTTTCCAGTAAAATTAATTGATGGATTTGTACAGTGGATATCCAGTTAAAGGTATAGCCTTAAATCAATTCTTGACAACCCAGGATCTTTATTATTAGTAGTAGTAGTTGCCAAAAATAAAAGGCATGCTCACAGAAGCTTGTAAGGCCATGTGGTCCCAAATAAGTTGACTATGTTTTTAAATAGTTTATTGAGATATGATTTGTATATCATAACATTCACCCTTTGTAGGTGAACAATTCAGTAATTATCAGTAAATTTATAGAGTTGTGCAGTCATTACCACAATCCATTGTTAGAACATTTCATCACCCCAAATATCCCTGCTCCCACCCCAGCCCTAGGCAGCCACTGATCTGCTTTCTAGCTCTATAAATTTCTATTTTCAGGACATACAAGTGGAATCATACAATGTGTAGTCTTTCTGCTTCTGCCTTCTTTCACTTACATCAGTATTTCATTTTATTGCCAAACCATATTCCATTATATGAATATACTACATTTTGTCAACTCCATTTACCAGCTGTTGTACATTTGATTTGTTTCCAGTTTGGTGCTTTTATGGATAATGCTGCTATGAACATTTGCATGTAAGTCTTAGTGTAGGCTGGGCGCGGTGGCTCACGCCTATAATCCCAGCACTTTGGGAGGCCGAGGCGGGTGGATCACCTGAGGTCAGGAGTTCGAGACCAGCCTGGTCAACATGGCCTGTCTCTACTAAAAATATAAAATTTAGCTGGGCATGGTGGCGTGCCCCTGTAATCCTAGCTACTCGGGAGATTGAGGCAGGAGAATCGCTTGAACCCTGGAGGCGGAGGTTGTAGTGAGCCGAGATCGTACCACTGCACTCCAGCCTGGGTGACAGAGCAAAACTCCGTCTCAAAAAAAAAAAAAGTCTTTGTGTAGACATACGTTTTCACTCCTCTTGGGTAAATTCTTGGGGGTGGAATTATCAGGTCCTACGGTAAACTTACCACTAACATCTTAAGGAATTGCCACACTGTTTCCAAAGAGTACTGGATTGTTAATGATGGAAGCCTTCAGAATTTCTCTTTCCTTCTGTTACTTGCTGTTGTCATTATCCCCTGTTCCCTCTTCCCTGAATTTGCTGCTGTGGGCAAGGCCTGAGAATTAATGCAGGACATTAGGATGTCTGGGGTGCTTTGGGGGTGGTGTTTGCTGGTTTCTAGATGCTCAACTGTGTTCTAGACAAGATATTCCAAGATGTATGTATTAGTTGAGACTCTCATGCAGATGAGAAAACCCTAGTATGATAGGAGACATAGTCTACATGATTGTCAGAAGTGGAAGAAGAGACAACTCCTTAATAGCAAAGATGCTGAACAGCCAAAACAGTAGTGGATGTCTACTACATCAGATATTTGACCCAAATAAATGAATTGTTTCTATAATAATTTAGTTTGTTTTTGCCTGATTTGCAAAGAAATTGAGAACCTCAGTTGCTTGGCACACCCCAAATGTAAAAAGTGTTAACTGCAGAGGATAAATTATACCATTCTTTTTACATGTATGGTATAATTCTTTTTATATGTTTGGCATTTACAGATTACATTTTTTATTTAATTGGAAAAAATGTTATTTTTAGGATAAGAGTATATGTACAGTGCTTGTCACATAGTAGGCACCCAATAAATGATAACATTATCCTTTTTAAAATCTTTTTCTGAAACTCGTTTTCATTCTACATCCATTTTTTATGGTGAATGCATCTTGAGGGTAAATTATGCTTTTAAGAATGCTTTTTTCCTGTTGGTAATAGTAATTTTCAATACGTTTTTTGAAAATATTTATAATTTCAGGTCAGGTCTTATCTGGCATGATGGAGGAGGTGGTGACACAAATCAGAAACTCTGAAAACATAATTTGGCTTAAGAATGAATTAACAAGATGCTTTTCTTTTGAACAGCAGCTTTATCATTTTAATTATGATTTCTTTAGACTAAACCTAATTTAGTGTAAATACATTGTTCAAAAACATACCAAATGATATGAAAGGAAAACATTAAAGGCCAAGGAAAATCTACAGGAGTCAAATCGGGAACTTAATTTAATACACTAAGCTAATTCCTTAATGTATTAGTTTATTTTATTCCTTAAATGTTGTAATTATTTGGATATATAGAAAAATACATTGGATATATGGACAAAAATTCTTGAAAAGGTGGACTGCCACTTTTCGCTCTACATTTCATCCTTTAAGCCCTCCTTTTTAGGAGGTTATTCTGTGTATCCTCTGGAAAAATAACTTGCAATCTTAATGTTTTATGAAATCATTTTTTTCCCCACAAGGATTTAAAATAGCTATTACATTTTGAGTCTGACGCTTGTGAAAAAATGAGTATATGTCTTTCCAAGATTTGTGAAAGTTGGCACTGTCTCACATCCTTTGTGGGCACGGTTTGTTTTTTGGGTTCCTTTTTTCCATGGGTATTCAAAATAAATAGAATCTTGTTATTGAAGTGGGAAAAAATAGCATTACTGTAAAGCTGGTTACAGATACTGCTGGAAAGAATTTTATCATATGATTGGAAATATTTTTCCAGTTAACCTTTTAAAAATTCTTAAGAACCATTTTTCTTTCCAGCTTTTAGATGCCAAATGCATTCTGAGGTTAGTGTGGTCATTTCTAGGGAATAAAGAAATTAGTAGCTTTGGTTTTGTAATGCTCCCTAATACTTAAACCTGAAAGGAAGTATTTACTGAATATTTTAAGTGCCACAGTTAATGCCACTTTGTAATGTAGATTTGTATTAGATTTAAAATAACCTGAGACATCATAATTGTTTTTTCTTAAGCCAGTGCCCACTGATGGCTCCTGCTAACCATGTAGCATACAGTAGCACCTAATACACTAAGAGTATTAATTCCTAGAGCAGTATTTTTAAGTGTGATCTGTGGACTCATGACAGAGAGGTCCTGTCTTTCCATAATATTTTACCATTTGTTTATGATAGTAATCCTATGTATTTCTTGATACAAATTATAATTTATTTCAGATGACTTTTTTTGTTTAAATACTTTGTTCCAGGGTTTTCTCAAGAAAAAAATACCATTTTCTTTGTTGATGCTTGACTTTTCTGCAGTAGCAAGAAAAGATGGAATAATCAGCTTCTTAGATTGTTTTGCGCCACTAAAGAGGCCGTCAAAAATAGTTTGAGCTCCATGAGTAGTCTTCCTGTGTTTTGATCTTCTCCAAATAATTATTTAGGAAATGTTTGTTTTAAATATCTTAAGATCTTTGCATCTAATTTCTGTTAGTGGCATCATATTTTCCCCAGGTCAAGAACCTTGGTAATAACTGAACAGGTTTAGGGAGGAAAAGGGGAAAGTCTTTCCTGGCAATTTTGACATCGAACCGTCTCTCAAATCAGCTTCTCCTCTCTAATCTTGTTACTGCTGCCAGAGCCCCAGTCATCTTTTGTAAGCAATATTAGAGCTGCCTCCCAACTGAGCAGTCTTGCCTTCTTACAATCTATTGTTCACGTTACTTAAGATTCAATGGCTGCCACACATACTCAAGATCAAGGCCATTCTCTCTGAGTGCAGTAAGTGAGGCCTTTCATGATGCTTTAGCCCGTCCTTATTTCTTTACTCAAATGTGAGGAACTACTTGCAGTTTCCAGAATGTAACTCATTTCACTCCACCTTAATGCTTTGTTAATTGCTATTTTTCTTTCAGATTCAGTAATACTTTGTATTACTTAAGTATTAATTCATCTGTGAAGCTTTCCAGACCTCCTCTTTTACCTTATAGCCAGTTTCCTTTGTGTTCCTTGTCGGAAAAAAAACAAAAACAACAACAACAACAAAATTTCTCCTTCATATTTAGCTTAGAAAACTCCAGAAGCCCTTGATTTGGTTTAAGCTTGTACATTTTTGCAGGAAAGACACTCATCAGTGGTGTTTCTATAACTTGATGAACAACGACTATGAAGCTTAAGGATCACATGTATAAACAGACAATGACTTCACAGTCCAAGAAGCCAAATAACTACCATAACAATTGACCTAAAATGTCCAGGACTTCATTAATAACTGCCAGCTTCCTAATTTTTGTCACACTTCCAATTCATAACCAACCTGTGAAAGCCAGATATACCCCTAACCAATCACAGTAGGATGCCTCCACTTCTAGTTAGCCTGCCTACAGCTCCACAGGCCAACAGCCTCCATCAGGCCATACCTGAGCCTTCTCTTTTTTCCATTATGAAACTTCACACTCGTCTACCTGTCTTTTAGTCTCTGTCAAGATGCAAATGACGATAGATGACTCCCTTGTTGTAGCAAGCACTGAATAAATACCCTTTGCTTTTCTCTTTTGGTTGATCTTCATTTATTTCCACAAGGAAAAAAATAATGTGTTCATTCTACATTTGTTTACATCTGAAGTAATTAATAATAAATACACTTTATAAACTGCCTTTATCTCTTGTGCTAGCTATGTTTTTGTAATTTCTACATATTTTATAAACACAGAGGTTTATACTTTATAAACATATGGCGGCTTATATTTTAGAAAGGTGAAGACAGGTTTTGTCATAAGACTTTCTTGCTTTATGTGTTTACATTGAATGGAAAAGAAACACAGAAAAATCTTTTAATAGTAAAGAACAAAATTCTAATCACATTTTAATCTTGAGATCTTTGTCTCAAATGTAGTTATTCATAGCTTTGTATTTTGTTTGTTAAATTGCAGTTTTAAAAAATTAGGGATTTACATGAAATGCAGATAATGTGAAGTTAGGTTTTGTTAAGAGTATCCTTTTATTTTTGTTTTTTAAAATACTATACGTGAATATGTTGCTAAATTTTTTGCACTTAGGAAGTTTGTTTGCTGTTTTTTATTTAACCTATTAATATATTTCATGTTTTTGAACTATATGTATGTTCCTAAGGTAAACTCTGTTGAGTTTGGCAAATTACTTTTTAAAATAATCTGTTCACTAATTTTATATAGGCCTTTTCACTCTAAAGATGCTGAGAATGACCAAAACCTATACCCTGTTTGTTTGTTTTTTATATATATATAGACCATCTCTCATATTACTAAGATTGAATGACAAATCAGGCCACTTTAAACGGTTTTGAAAGTATGAAAAGTATAGCTTTTTATCTGTTTGATGCTCTATTATGCTAAAGTCAATCTCTTTATTTATTGTTTGAATTTTCCATTAATAGATGTTCCCTTCGGAGAGGCAGCTCCTTCACATTCTTAACACCTGGCCCCAACTGGGACTTCACTTTGGTGAGTAGATACCTGGGTTTTTATTTCGAGACATTAGATAGAATTAATTCCCTGGTTTCTTTCAGTCTGTTACACAGATCAGTGGTCCTTACTTCTGAGGGTCTTGAGGAACAGAATTCCTGTAACCATCTTTGGCAGCCTAATTTAGTCCTTTTCTGCTAACAAGCTGTAATAACTTTTTGTTTCAAGTAAATATAAAACATATTTTGCAAAGTACTCACATCTATTAATCTTTAACTCTATGCCATCCTTTCTCTTATTCCTTTCAATGTTAAATCTGATAATATATTATGAAACATGAAATTATTTTTATACATCCTCTACTGCCTTTTTTTCTTGGTTGAAAATATAAAAATGCTTGATTGCACATTGTGTATATATATTTAATATATATAATGAATGATTTTCTGCTATTAATCATCTCAGCATAGAGGGACTCTATTATTTTTATAGCAGGACTTTACAGAGGCATTTAATTTTGTGTGAAGTGATAACAGAAAATTGATTCTTTTTGTACTTAAAACTTATTAGCTCATAATACATATATAAAGTACGTACAAATAGATCATGATTCTTATGCTTATCTAGGAAAAATAGCAAAAGTGATTCAAAATATAATTTCATATAAATGCATAAGTATGATCATATATGTGCTTTTTTCCCCTTAGTACAGTCTAATATTGCTAGGCAGTTTCCTCCCCACTTCTTCTCCTTCTCCATATTAGTCCATTCCCAGGCTCTGCTCTAACCATGTCAACAGTACCATATGTATCCTTCTATATTTTGCTCATATCATTAATATACACAAAGAGGCTCACAGATAAATACACAAGCAGGATTTATGGTTAGTTGGCCTTTCAAACCTGGGATCATATTATTCATAATTTTCTGTATCTTCTGGGTATGACCTTGGGATCAGTAAAATATTTCTTGAGTTCCAACACCTCCATTCTGATATATATTGTTCTTTCATGTCTTAGATCATTTTCCTAATGTCTTTTAGCTCAATTCAAAACAGTGTGTTATAATTTTGCTCTGCTGCTTTGAGCATTTCCTCCTGGTGTGCAGTCATTTCCTAGGGGATAGATTCTGTTCCTTGTTTTCTTTTTTCATAGAATGATATTGTGTAGAATTTGACTTTGAGAATTTTCTGTTCATTTTAGTGTGAATTTAGTTTTCAACTTGTACACAAAATCTTGGTTCAGATAGCTTTTCTGACTTCACAACCCTCCTTCGTGTTGTTTTTTATGGTAGCTTGCTTTCTGAGACTGCCTGGCTCTGTTACTTTCTCCACTTCTATCTGGACTTTGCCGTTCCTTTTTTTTTTTTTTTTTTTTTTTTTTTTTCTTCTCTATTGGCCCTATCTTGTTCAATTTTGATTCAATTCCCAGCAGTTTCTCCTCACTGTGGGGCCAGGAAGTTGACGGGAACCCTAACTAGTCACTTTTTAAGAGTTACCAAGAAGTAAGCTGTGTAGGTAACCTGAAAAGTTATTTTGAGATGTGGGAAAATGAAGTGTTACCCGTGGGTGCTTATTCACTATTAATTAAGTACCAGAAATGGTAGATATGTACACAGTTTTGCCACTACTGGTGCCAGAAGGGCTGAATGAAAGTGATAAATGGTAAGTGGAAAGTACTCCAGGGACATGGCTGTTCACCTTCTAGTTAATCAATCCTGCCTCAGGCAACAAATCTTAATTACTTTGGGCCATGAGAAAAGGATTTTTTTTTTCTAGTGAAGACCTTGCCCCCAAGATAAATAATGTGTTCCTTTTCAAAAAAAAAAAACTAGCTGATTTTATATTTAAAAAATTTTTACTTTTTCTCTAACAAGTACAGACAGCCCTTGATTTACATAAGAGTTCTGTTCTGAAAAACTTAAGTAGTATTTTAATAGGGTAGCCACTTCACAGCAGTGATGACTTAGTCAGGGGAGACTGTTCAGATAGTATCTATTCCAAAGACAATTCATGAGCGTCTCTCCTCAAGATAATTTTCTTTGTTTTTTTTTTTTTTTGAGAGGAAATCTTGCTCTGTCACCCAGGCTGGAGTGCAGTGGCGCAATCTCGGCTCACTGCAGCCTCTGCCTCCCAGGTTCAAACGATTCTCCTGCCTCAGCCTCTTGAGTAGCTGGGACTACAGGTGTGTGTCACCACGCGCAGCTAATTTTTTTTTTTTTTTTGGATTTTTAGTAGAGACAGGGTTTCGCCACGTTGGCCAGGCTGGTCTCGAACTCCTGACCTCAGACGATCCGCCCTCCTCAGCCTCCTAAAGTGCTGAAATTACAGACGTGAGCCACCGCGCCTGGCCTCAAAGTAATTTTCTTGTGACTATAGCCAAAGGCTTAACTTTTTTAAATTGATTTTTCTAGTTTTATAGAGTCTTTGTTTTGTGAGGTAATATGCATTCCTTTTATATGAGAATGAAATCTCTATTTTTCTTTTAGAAAAGAAAACGCAGAGAGAAAGATGATGATGTTGTAAGCCTTAGCAGCCTTGATCTGAAGGTAAGCCCTGCTGCCCTGTTAAAGAAAAGCATTTAAAAATATGCAGATAGCATTTTATTTCTGTGCTGCAAGAATAACAAATGCTGGTTTGGGTTTTTTTGTTTTTTTGTTTTTTGCATTTTGTAAGTGCAAAAGTGAATAATATTAGTTCATAGACACCGTCTTTTTTGCTATTCTACTTCTTTGTTAAGAATGAGGGAGAAACCACTCTCAAAATGTTAGGCTATAACTACTGATCACAAACACAAATGCTAAGGAGACAGGCTGTAATCTGTGCGAAGGAACGAGGTAAGAGAGGGCCGGTGGTGAAAAGGAGAGCCCCAGGTTCTAGCCCACTGTCACATGTAGGACTGTCAAAACCTGGATTTTTATGTGAAATCTCCTGAATTTTAAATGTTGAGTCAGTTTTTCTTAAAAAATACATGCAAGCAAAATAACTTATCTGTAAGTCATATGTGGCCCATGGGCTTCAAGGCTTCAAGTATGTGACATAGAATAAACTAACACTCAGCACACACTTTAAAATACTTGAAGTTTTCTTATATGAAATTGTACTTAAGTCCAAAAACCTAGTATCTTTGGAATTACTAACATCATTTTTGCCAGTTAGTAAATTTTACTGTAGCATCTTGGTTTTGGAGAGTCTTTTTTTAAGGTTATAAAAGAGTTGTACATTTTTAAATGTGATTTTTAAAAATGTTTCATATTATGTTTAACAGCAGCAGCTGCTGTTTCTTTTTAAAGACAAGATATTTTCTAAAAATTAAATTTTTATAATCTGCTCATCAACATTTTAACAAATCCAGCAAGTCAATTTTTTTCTTATTTTTAGTACACAGTGTCTTCATAGAAGAATTATGTGTTTTAAGTTGTAAGCATTTTGCAAAACAGTTTTAGTTGCATTTAAAATATCTTGTATTCAAAAAAAGAAAAAAGTATGAAATGACAACCTTGATTATTTTTAGGTATGTTTCAAATCAAATCAAATACAGAAATAGTATTTGTAGTTTGCCACAGTAAAATACGTGGTCTTCAACTAAGCTTTAGCAGTTATCAATATATGAATTATTTTGAAGTAAATCCTAGATGTCATGTCCTTTCATCTGTAAATATTCCATTTACTATCTTTATTGTCTTAGATAAAAACTTTTTTTTTTTTTTTTGAGGCGGAGTCTCGCTCTGTCTCCCAGGCTGGAGTGCAGTGGTGCGATCTCGGCCCCCTGCAACCTCCGCCTCCTGGGTTCAAGAGATTCTCTTGCCTCAGCCTCCTGAGTAGCTGAGATTACAGGTGTGTGCCACCATGCCCGGCTAATTTTTGTATTTTTAGTAGAGACAGGGTTTTGCCATGTTGTCCAGGCTGGTCTTGAATTCCAGACTCGGCCCCACAAAGTGCTGGGATTACAGGTGTGAGTCACCATGCCGGACCTTAGATAAGAACTTTTTAAAAACATAATAAAATACACTTTCTACAAAACAGTACAAATAATTCCTTAATATCAGATTCAGTTCAGAATTCATGCATTTTCTTGATCTTGTTTGTGTGTTTTTGTGGGGTTTTTTGTTTGTTTAGGTTTTTTTTGGTTTGGGGTTCATTTTGCCTGTTTGTAGTCCAAATAAGACACATACATTATGATTAACTATATCTCTTTTTTTTTTTTTTGAGACAGAGTCTCGCTCTTTTGCCCAGGCTGGAGTGCAGTGGCGCGATCTCTGCTCACTGCAAGCTCCGCCTCCCGGGTTCACACCATTCTCCTGCCTCAGCCTCCCAAGTAGCTGGGATTACAGGTGCCCGCCACCACGCCCGGCTAATTTTTTGTATTTTCAGTAGAGACGGGGTTTCACCGTGTTAGCCAGGATGGTCTCGATCTCCTGACCTCGTGATCCGCCTGCCTCGGCCTCCCAAAGTGCTGGGATTACAGGCGTGAGCCACCGCGCCCGGCCTTAACTATATCTCTTAAGTCTCTTTTAGTTCATTGGTTTCCCCTCTAACTATTTTCTTGGAATTTTTTGTTGTTGAAGAAACATGTCATGCAGGATTTTCCTATAGATCTTTTTATAGCCTGAATATTTATGATTGCATCCCCATGGTATCATTGACTATGTTCCTCTATTCCCTGTATTTCTGACAAGTTGGTAATTAGATCTAGAGAGCTGATCCAGTGTGGGTTTTTTGGGCCATGTACTTACCTCAAAAAGTATGTAATGCCTTTCTGTGATGCTCTCAAAATGGATGCTCATTGCCTACATGCATTTTTTTCTTGGTGGTTGCAAAGTGATGACATGTCTTTATCAGACCTCTGTTTATTAACTGGAATACATCTGTAAAGAGAAAATTCACCTTGTCGGCCATTTGATTACTCTGAAGTTCTGATTTATAATAAAAGCAGAACAAGTGCTTGATTCTTTTCCTTTGTCAGTTTTCAACAATAACGAATTCTATTCATTAGCATTCTCTGAAAGTAAGTAATGATTTTTTTTTCTCCTTAGTATTATGAACTCATGCATATAAATACTTGTTTTACATGGATTCAGTTTTTTTTAAATTTTGTTTTGTAGAAAAGACAGGGTCTCACTATGTTGGCCAGGAAGGCCTCAAATTCCTAGTCTCAAGCAGTGCTCCTACCTCGGCCTCCCAAAGTGCTGGGATTACAGGCATGAGCCACCACGCCTGGCCTCATTTCAGTTATTCTTACTGATGCCTCACATATCTGTCTTTGGCTGTTGGATGCTGTTTCAGGATGGTTCCTGTGTCCTTTTGACATGACCTTTATCTCACATCTAGTGGCTTAATAGCCTCCTTGTCTTCTAGGATGACAAATTATTGCAGGTCCTATTTTTTTGCTCTATGCCTGGAATCAGTCATTTCTAAAAGGAGTCTGGTTGCTTTGGGAAATGGTAGAGGCTAAAATCTGGGCATTGGGAATACTCCCTTCTACTGGATTGGTCATTGTTGATAGGACTTTTTAATGAATAGAGCTAGGAGATAAATATAATTTTAGAAAAACAAAACAAAATATGAATTTATATTGAAATTTCAGATTCAAAGATAAAGGGATTTAACTTAATCTTATCAGTCTTACTATGTAGAGTTCCTTCAACTTCACCAAAAGTCCAGAGACATTGATTTAATTATGCATTTGATTTATACTACAGTTCAAAGACAACAGCTTGCATTATTATTGATTACTGAAAACGTTTTATGTTTTCTTGCATTTTTCAGCTTTGTTTAAACCTATAGGTTATAACATAGTAGGGATGTACAGTCAAATTACTGTGTTTTTAAATTATTACACTCACTTCTGTGTGTAATTACACCAACAGCTCATTTGGTTTTTAAAAAAAATTTTATTGTTTAAGAATTACTGCTTTTTAAATTTATCTTATAATTGTGTGACAGAATTATGTAGAATTTTGAAGTCATTCTACAGAGGATTCTTGTTCATATTCCTGACTCTTCTACCCTACTCACTCTTTCAGATGAAATCTTTTTTTTTTTTAATTTTATGGTTTATCCTTCCACTTTTAAAATATATAAGCAACTATATATATATAGTATTCCACTTTCTTGGATGAACTGTATGTAGCCTACTGTCTTTCTTAATGTTTTGTTTGTATGTTTGCTCTTTGCTTTGGTATATCTTTTGATATTTAGGTAGGTTTGTGTTTTTGTTCTAATGGTTCTTTATACTGATACCTTATGTAATACCTTTTGGGCTACTATAAATGGGTTAATTCCTATGAGCATTTAGTTAACTAGCACTTCTCCCTACCCTCTTTCTCTTCTGATTTGAAATACTATTGCTTGACTTGTAGTTAATGCATTTAAGGCAGTAAGTGAGCTTATTTTACTTTTCATGTACATTCACCACTTTCCTCCCATTTTTAAAAATAGTTTGTCAGAGCTTTTAGCCATTACGAGCTATACTGTAGACCCTGATAACCATCAGGTAGTCTTAGTTCTACTGGTAAATATATATTTAATTCTCAGCACCAGTCCTCATGTTGAGTCCTTTCTAGTTTTTTTGTTTGTTTGTTTTGGTTTCTGAAGCTCATTCTCTAGTACAGGGGTCAGCAACCATGACCCACAAGCCATATGTGACTGATCTCTCTATGTTTTGTTTATAGCTGCCTTCGTAAACACTGCAGTATCTGGGCTGAGCAGTTGTGACAGGAACCATAGGACCTGTAAAGCCAAAAGTATTGACTCTCTGGCCCTTCACAGAAAAAGTTTGCTGACCCCTGCCCTGGAGTTGAGTAGATTCTCAGGCAGTGTTCATGGTATTCCCCAAGTACTTGCATGTTGCATGTTCTTTTCAGTTTGTTTGCAACCTTTATACTTGAAGGTTCATTTGGACGGATATGAAACCCATGGCTCACCTTTTCTTTCATTGAGTATATTTAATATTTTACTCCATTGTGTTCTGGCATAAACTATGTCTTTTCAAAGTCATAATAAATGTGTAGTTTCAGGTCATCTTTTGTTTTAGGAACTTTTTTTTTCTTGAATTATACCTTTTGGTATTTATTGTATTTTGTTTCCCCTCTGTACCCTTTATATTATCTTGGATCTTCATCTTTTAAAATCTTTTCTATTTATTACTTTTTCTCAAAACTTTTTATCTTTTTATTTTTAAAGCCATCCTCCTTTTTTCCCTAATGCATTAAGCATTGTACTTTTCATTCTGAAATAATTTTTTTTATTTTTAATTCTTAGTTCTATCACCTCTCATTTCAATTCCTTCTCCAGTCACCTAATTTCTGAGTCTTATGTTTCTTCAGAGCTTCTGTAATTTTCTTAATTTACTTCACGCTGTAGAGACATGATTCTACTCCAGTCTGTGTTTCCTTATAATAGTTTTAAGTGGAATTCTTAATACTTCTGTCGCTCATTTTTCAGTGCAGTAAGTTTCCTGTATGGTGAGAGGAATAGGCCAGGATAGCCTTTTCAGCTTCATAACTCTAGAGCTCCCTCTTGTGTTGTGTTCACAAGGTGATTTTTCAAAGTATGGTTTCATCCTTTCTGAGATCTTTTCTGCTCCCTTTCTCTTTTATCTGGAACTTTTCTTGTCTTTGCTTCTGTTGCCCTGTTCTTCTCAGTCTGGAGTCTACTCCTAGGAGTTTTTCTAAAAGAAGTATCAGTTTCAAGAGTTTACATGGCCCAGACTGCTCTAACACCTATTTGCATGGCATTGTTCTTGTTCTCAGCCTGAGAACAAGATCCTTCAGAGCCTTTCCCAGATGAGGCTGCTATTCTGAGACTAGTATGCCATTGAGGCTTCAGGGGAGGTTGAAGGGATTCTCCTGTTCCCAGGGCCATCAGAAAAACCCCGTGCCTTCCCTCTGCCTCATCATACACAAATGCTGATACTTTGTGGGCCTCATAACTGTCTGGTTTGTCACTCTGCTCATATTTTGAGGTTTAAGGGGAATCTTTCTCTTTGTTGTGGATTTTATTTGTGGGTTTTCTTTTTTTTTTTTTTTGGTTATGCTAGTTGCTCTGTTTTTTTTTTTCTTTAAAAGTAAAGACCTGTCAAAGAATTAACTTATTAATGAGTTAACCAACATTATAGAAAAGCTGATCAAAGGACTAGGAAACACTGACATACACTAGTCACTGAAGGAAAGAATGGTGGACTGAGATTACCAAATTATATATAAAATATTAATATCCTCATCTGCATCTCTACCTACAAAATTTATTTGCATTGCTGTGAGTTTTCTACAGAGTTAACTTTTACTTTTTCAGAGCTATAGAAAAGCCTGCTCAGTACAAATAGTGAATCAAACAAAAGGCTTGAAGTTCTGATGATCCCAGTAGCATTAAGCTGTATTTATACTTTGAAAATAATGATTGGCTAAAACAGAGATACTCAACCCTGGCTGCAGATCAGAGTCACCTGAGGGTGGCTTGTGTAGCAGGAGAAGTGTGCTACGGGACCTATTCCAGACCAATTCCATATATGAATGGAGGAATAGGGGAGGAAATGAGGATAAGTGACATTGGGACCTAGGAACATTTGATTTTTCTTTTTATTTTTTAAAGATACCAGGTGATTCTCATGTATAGCTAGAGTTAAAAACTAGAATGTGACATTCTTAAAGTTATTCCTCCCTCCCCCTGATTTTTGCTTGGACTTACATCTAAATACAACAGTTTTTATGTAATAAGCTAAACATAATCTGTTAGTACAATTATTTGATGCCTGTTGCTAGGAGCCATTCTACTTTATATGCCTCCGTGCCTGAGATAGATAGATAGATAGATAGATAGATAGATAGATAGATAGATAGATAGATAGATAGACAGACAGACAGATAGATAGATAGATAGATAAAATAGATACTCCGTAAATATTGAATTAATGAATGAAATATTAATAATACAGGTCAAATGAATGACATAAGACCTTGGACTTACATAAGCATATAACATGATCATTGTATTACGTATTTGGACTTTGGATATCTTATATGAAGAATTTAATTCTGATGTCAATTGAATTTTCATGTTATGGATCATTAGCTATTTTGTCTTGAAGCTGTGATTGTTTATCAAATTTTTCTCTAGGTAAAATTTCAGCCTTGTCTTACTAGGCTGACTTACTTCTGTATTATATATACAATTATTCATTTTTAAAAGAACACAGTATTAGTTTTCCAAATGTGTTTCTCAGCTGTGTATGTTAGCAACTACAATCTTTCCTTTTTATTTTGATAGGAAGAGTCAAAAGTGACTGTTGACTTTGTTAATGTGAAATAACACTGGCATGAGTATACTGAGCATATTTTTGTGACTTAATTTCTTTAACTCTGATAGTTAGTGATTATAACACAAACTAGAACACTTCTAAAGAAATGTTTTAAAGTATGTTCTTTTTCTGAAACTTCAAATTTAGGATCTCAGTTTTCCGTTTTCCTAGAAGTTAAAAGGAGGTGTGTGTGTGTGTGTGTGTGTGTTGTGTGTGTGTGTGTGTGTGTGTGTGTGTGTGTGTGTGCATATATATATATATATATATATATTTTTTTTTTTTTTTTTTTTTTTTTTTAATGTGGAGTTTTGCTCTTGTTGCCCAGGCTGGAGTGCAATGGCTCAATCTCGGTTCACTGCTCACTGCAGCCTCTGCCTCCCAGGTTCAAGTGATTTTCCTGCCTCAGCCTCCCAAGTAGCCGGGTTAATTTTGTGTTTTTAGTAGACAGGGTTTCACTCTGGTGGTCAGAGTGGTATCGAACTCCTGACCTCACGTGATCCACCTGCCTCGGCCTCCCAAAGTGCTGAGATAACAGGTGCGAGCCACTGCGCCCAGCCTGGGGGTTATATTTTGAGTATTGGTATACTCTGCCATTTTTAGATTAAACATAATAATAAGTGTTTTAGTCCTAATAAATAACATATAAATGATAAATAATTTTAAAAGCATTGTGATTGTTTATAATTATAATAATGTCTTGGCAGTTTCTGATTTAACATTCCAAATACCACTTTTGAGAAACAACCTCTTAGAACCATGACAGGTAATTTGATCATGTTGCAAAGCACAGATTTGAATAGTGTGAAGCTAGCTGGCATGTGAAACCTAGTGACTTACCTAGCTTACTGTTGCCCTCCACCTGCACTTTGATTTAGCTATGATTTCTACTGGTTGCCTTATAAGATAATAAAACATTGTTTTGCTGTGACAGAGGTCCAAAAAAGAAAGCCAACTGCTGGTTCAGGTGTTGATATAAGAAAATGGTGTTCTTGGCCAAAAATAAAAGTTAAATACAAAACAATTATTGCTGATTAGTGCTCTGAGAAGCCATTGAGCAATACAGAGCTACTTATCTTTAAGCTTAATCATTCCTAGACTGCAATGTATTTAAATACTTATGTCTCCTTTTTAATACATGAATACATTGTTCTGGCAAAAAATTGAAACCGTTTTTTTAAAGACCTCTTTTACTGCCTTCAGCCTCTGAAGTATCCAGTTATTATTTGATGTTTGTCCAGATTGTTTTCTTTTTATTTATCTATTTTCATACAGTATGTGTAATGACTACAGATATATGATTATCCTGTATATATGCTATAGCTTGCTTTTTTTAATTTATGTTTTATTGGTACATATAAAGCAGGCTCCCTAATTCTTCTTGGTTGCTGTATTGTATTCCATAGTGTGTTAAAGTACCATAATCTATTTAACCAGTCTTTTAAGAATGGCTATTTTTGTATATTTCTAATTTTTTTCATATTAAAAACAGTGCTGTACTTTACCTTCTGGTGCACAAGGAGGGACCATGTTTGTGTCTCTATTATAGATGTTTAGAAGTGGGTTGCAAGTTTTAGTTTTGTTAATATTGTCTATTTGCCTTCCAAAATGTTTGCCAAATTGATACTTTTCTATCGGTTTATGATAATATTCATAACCGAGTACCCTTTTCAACTCTGTATTTTCCCTAGTATTTTTTTTTTTAACCAACTATTGGGATAGATAACCTGACAGGAAATCAATAAGGAAGTAGAAGACTTAAACAGCACTCAGACCAAATGGACCTAACAGACATACAGAGCCCTTCACCCAACAACAGTAGATTATACATTTTTCTCAAGTGCATGTAGAACATTCCAGGATAGACGGTATGTCAGGCTGCAAAACAAGTCTTAATACATTTATAAAGACTGAAATCATACAGACTAATTTTTTTAACACAGAGAGTGAAACTAAAAAGCAGTAACAAAAGGAAATCTAAAAAATTTATAAGTATGTGGAAATTAAACAACACATTATTAAACAATCAATGAGTCAAAACAAATCACAAAGGAAATTAGAAAATACCTTCAAATGGAAATGAAAACACAACATGCTAAAACTTATGGAATGCAACAAAAGCATTGCTGAGAGAGAAACTTACAGGTGTAAACACTTTACATTAGAAAGTAAGAAATATCTCAAATCAGTACCCCAACTTTATTCCTTAAGGAGGTAATAAAAAGAAAAGCAGTCTTAACCCAAAGCTGGCAAATGGAAGGAAATTCATTAAGAACGGTGGAGATAAATAAAATATAGAATCAAAAAACAATAGAGTAAAACCAAAATTTGGTTCTTTGGAAAGATTAACAAAATTAACAAACCTTTAGGTAGACTAAGAAAAAAAGAGAGAAGACTCAAATTAGTAAAATGAGAAATGAAAGTGGGGCTATTACTACCATATTGTACAGAAATAAAAAGGGTAATATTAATAAAAGTACTGTGAATAATTGTATGCCAACAAATGGATAATCTAGATGAAATGGACAAATTCCTAGAAACACACAATCTACCAAGACTGAATCATGGAGAGAAAATCTGACTAAACCTATAACTAGTAAAAAGATTGACTCTGTAATCAAAAACCTCTCAACAAAGAAAAGCTCTGAATAAGATGGCTTTACTGGTAAATTCTACCAAACATTTAGAAAAGAATTAACATTAATCCTTCTCATACTCTTTCAGAAAATCAAAGAAAATAGAATACTTTCTAAGCCATTCTAAGAGATCAGTATTATCCTGATAACTAAAGCCAACACTACAAGAAAAGAAAACTATAGACCAACACCATTTCTCAGCTGCTGGCAGGTTAGGCATTCACCAGTGGCAGTGACTAAACCAGCCTTGGTAAAAGAGCGCCCCTGCTGCTGGAGCACACTGAACCTTCATGCCTGCCATCATGGCTCCTGTGCTCATGGGTCTATTGCACCAGCACTGGAATCCACAACGTAAATCACTAGCACCTTAGAGTCTTCAGTAAGCATTAACATGAGAGACAAGGCTCCTTCCACTTTGTGGCCATTCTCATAGGCCCATCCATATGCCTCTTCTCCAAAATTGATTTCTACCTTTTCAATCTTGGTTCCTTCCAAGCTCCTGACCAATCAGCCAACCCATTTGCCACTGCTCAGGAGCCTGTGTATATCTGTATGTCATGCCATTTCTCCCTTCACACAGAGTGAACAACCAAGTGCATTACTGACACTGGAGTGTTCTCCTTTGCCGCTCTCTTTAGGATTACCCCTGAATGGGATGCAGTGCAATAGTGGTCCATTTTCTGCTCATACCAACATATGAAGCTAATTCATGTGTGAATGAGGGCCAAATTTTTCTCTTAGTGGTTTTAGAGACCTACTCCACCCCTAGATGAAGAGTTGAAAGAGAAGTACCAGTGTAATGTACTAGGTTACATGGCAGTCTGGGCCATCTGTTCATGTTATATACTGATGCCCTTTGGTCTTCCTTAAGCCAATCACAAATGGACCATTTCCTTTGTATAACAGATGGCTGCTGTACCTCCCAACCTTCTGACTCAGTTGATGTGACCCTGTTTGTTTTGGGCACCTCTGATCGCACAGTTAAATGATGTCCTGTAGCCAGGGCCTCACTCTAACTAGGTCTGCCCCACACCTGGGGCTGCTTTTCAAACCGGAGTCATTTTCTGCTGTGGAAAGCAGAGCTTTGCTCTGGAACCCTAAGGCTCTGCATTGCAGTTCTCTTCCTGGCCTTGCCAGAGCATCACACAGCATCTTTGTCTACCATAAATACCCAACCTTGATGTGATATACCAGGTCACATGGCCTGAACAGCAGGGCAGTTTGCACCACAGCCTGGAGGACCTGCTACAGAGACCTCTGTTGCTCTGGGACCTACTCAAAACTATCACAGCAACATTCCCAAATATAGCAGATACTGCCTCCAAAAGATGAAGAGTCCTGCTAGCACTGTGCCTAGAAGATGCAAGGTGCAACACCTGTCCTTTCCTGTAGCGGGGAGATCCCAGAAAGCCTCAGGCCGTTGGATCTATTAAAACTTTTCCAACATGGCAACCTCTGAATTTTTGTGGCATGCGTTTGATTTACTGGGATATCCAAAATACTTTCCACTTCCTATTCACCAGGTCTTTTTGGTATAATGTTATTAATACAGTGGGCCTGTATGATGTTCTGTGAAATATCCGGTCCTTGCCGACTTTGTGACAGAAAACAAAGTGAACAGCTTCAGGACGTGAGCAATCACAGGCTGCTGTCCTTCCCACCTAAAAGCAAACTACTTTTGACCCTTCTTACTAATGAGGATTGAAAAGAACACATAGGCCAGATCAGTAACCACAACCATAACCATGTAACAAATGCTAGATGATTTGTTGGTCTGCTCCAGTAGACTCTACATCTTGCACAACAGTTGAGGTTGGAACTACCACTTAAGTTTACAGTGGTCCACTGTCATTTACCACAGTCCACCTCATTATTGTAAGAGGCACTCAGATAAACAGAATGAGGATCTAGTGGAGACTATCACTTGTGCAGTCCGTAACTCTGATGGCTGATCTCTGCATTTTCTCCTGGTGTGCAATACTGCTTCTGACTTACCATCTTGGCCCAGGTGTAAGGGGTGAAATTTCAGGGACTCCCACTTAGCTATTCCCACCATGGTGCTGAGAACATTATGAAAGTTCTGTCAGCTGCTTTTTCAAATCTTTTAAAGCAATTAGCCAAAGCCAGTAAACACTACAATCATTACAATTACCACTGCCCCTCTCTTGTTCATTTGCCACCACTACTATGTAAGGCATTGCCTCACTACTCTGTGTCTCATCCCTATTCATACCTGTAGTCCTTATCACCATTTTACTAGTGAGTGAGTCTGTTTCAGAGTCCCATCCTGTGTTTCTGATCTCTAGGACCAATCTCAGTGTCCATATTTTAGCCTGGGTTCTCCCTCCAGAAATCAGAGCCTAAAACGAGGACTCATTGACAGGTGTCTTTCTTGAGGTATGATCCCAGGGAACAAGCTGGAGAAGTGAAAGAGAGGAGGCCCGTGCAGTGTCTAATTAAGCTGTCACTACTGTGGGCAGTGGGGTAGATCTCTCTGGAACCCTCTGAAGAGCTGTGTAAAACACACCACAGACTTCTCCTCTCAACGGACTGAAGAGGGGAGCTTTTATCCTGCAGCTTCTGTGCTCCGTTAGTCAACAAGTGGCCTTTCGGGTGTCCATCCCACACACCCGTGGCTACACATGTGCATGTGCCACACAGCAGCATCCAAGAAGCCCAGGGTGGAAGGCAAGAGATACACAGTGCAGCTGAGGCAAGGGACTGTGGGGTCACTCCTGTGGGGAGCCAGTTGCTATGGCAATGTCAAATTGGGCTGAGAAAACAGGAGGCTGGGCACAAGACACAATATCCTTTTGTCTTTAGTTTGGGGCCTTAAGCTGAAGTTCAGGGAAAAATGGGAGGAATCCCATTCAACAGCTTGTTACAGAAGACTAAGTGGTCTTACGTTATACTGGAAGTTATTCGTTACCTGAGATAAAAAGTCACCACTAACAGTGCTGATACCCCATTTGATTGGCTATTTGTGTTGTCATCGCACAAAAGAACCATTGTTTTGACAATACCAAACTTATTAGCCTATGAGACTATTTTATTTAAAGTGTGTCTAATAATACTTAATTGGTCTAAACTGATGTTTTTTCCCCAAACCAAATTCTTAGTACTAAACTTGGAGATTCAAATCACATATAACTTCATTACTAATTTCTTTCGTACTTATCCAGTTCAAATGTAACTCTTTTTGTTTTTAAGTTATTACTAGATATTTTGGAACTATGGTTTTTCAAAAGTTCCACTTTTCAATTAATACTTCCTTTTTAGTAAGATTTAAAATTTTATTTTTAACTAACCTATTTTTAGTGAGATACAGAGTATATGCTTGTAATCTTGAATTCTAGAGTTTTAAAATGGAATGTAGTTTTCTTATATTTAGAAAAAGTTCTTAAAATATTTCTTGTGAATTGTGGAATCTTTTTCATATACTTGTATCATTTTAAAATATATGTTTAATTTAGTAATATAAGACATGAAGGCTGTACAAAGACTGAAAATACAGATTTTACTGGTCATATTTTTCCACAAATTAAGAGATTGTTTATGTAGTCATCTATGTAATGTCGTTACAAATATAATTACAAAGTTGAAAAACAGGTTGACAATTGCATTTCACAATATCTCGTGTAGAGGGCAGCAGAGAGCTTAGATTTTGTTTTCTCTTTGCCTGTAGTATGGCTTCCCTAGTCTAATTTCCAATTGCTTGTTATTGTTCCAGGTAAAAGTAGATAATAATGCCTAGACCAAAAAAAGTAATGATTATTCCTAAGCTCTAATTTATTTCTAAATTCCAAGCAGTTTTTCACTTGAAAGGGGAGAACAAGTAACCTAACACTCCTTTTCTATACATAAGAGAAACATCTTTCTCTTTACCTTTACATAACTCAGTTACGTTTATAAATTCTAGATGTTCTATAGAAAGAAAAGACGCTAACCAATCTGTGCCTCAGTTACGCCGTTTGTAGAAAGTTATACAAATAGTTGCTGTTGGCCAGGCAGGGTGGCTCATACCTGTAATTCCAGCACTTTGGGAGGCCAAGGCAGGCAGATCACTTGAGACCAGGAATTCGAGACCAGCCTGGCCAACATGGTAAAACCCCATCTCTACTAACATTACAAAAATTAGCCAGGCGTGATGGCACACTCGGGAGGCTGAGGCATGAGAATCACTTGAATCCAGGAGGCAGAGGTTGCAGTGAGCTGAGATTGTGCCATGGCACTCCAGCCTGGACAACAGAGCAAGACCCTGTCTTTAAAAAAAAAAAAAAAGAAAGAAAGAAAAAAACTCTTCTAAACTTACACAACTGGAACTATTTTATTATCTTTTTACCTACCCCATGTCTTGTTATAAAAAGGCTATAAGGCAGCTAATCTCTCAACCGTTTTTATGGTTTCCTCCTCTATAAAAGTATTGGCAATTTAGTGAATACTGCTAGCCTGGGACTCAGGAGACTTTGGTTTTAAACTTAGGTCTACTGTTAACTTAGGTCACTAACATATACTGAGCACCTAGTGTGTCTCAGAACATGTGCTAAAGGTTTTATATGGGTTATCTTCATCTGGACAGTGTCACAACAGCTGAGCAGAACAGAGTCATCAGGTCTGTTAAGCCACTGATTAACAAGGTACCTTTGGACAAGTTTCTTAAACTTGGTCAGTCCTAGTTTCCTCCTTCTCTAAAATTGAGATAATAAGTACTTCATAGAGTTGATTAAGATAACATGTATAAAGCTCTAGCACAAAGTAATTGAGATAATAAGTACTTCATAGAGTTGATTAAATAACATATAGAACTCTAGCACAAAGTAAGACCTTAAATTTTTCTTCTATTTTTCACCACCACCCATTAAGTTTCCTTATGAGAAAACTGAAGAGGATGGGTGAATGATCTCAGAGGGCCTGTTTAGTCCTCTGGTTTTATGCAGCATTGTGACAAGACTCAAGATTCTTGAGTCCAGTTGAACTTCCGCATGTTCATCATTCCTTTTTTAGATGCTGTCTACATTTAGACCCCAAACCTGCACATTCAAAATGAAACTAAGATTTTAGTGTTGGTGAGCTGGGGCTTTTGTGAACATGGCTGTCATCAGTATACCCTATTTGTTTTCTATTTCTGTATTTACATATAAAGACTTCTACCTTTACCTCTTGGGTCCCCAGCTGAAGGAGAGAATGAAAGATACCCCTTCTCATTATCTTGGCTCATTTCTGTTGGAACTAAGTGGAAAAACAGTTTCAAGAAAGACATCGGGTAAGAATCCCAGGAGAACTCCTAGCTGCTTCTTTCCTAACTCCCACTGCACATAATCCTTTATTCCCTTAGAAACTATGTGGCCGTAAAGTATTGGCCTTACTTACGCCATATTTTAACTGATGAAGCTAACTGAACCAGACTGCTGGGGTCTAGCCTAGGCTGTTCATATTAGCTCTGAGAATGTAGGTAGATCACTGTTCTTAAAATTAAGAGTAAAATTAGGAGTCCACAATCGCTCAGGTGCTTCTACTTTCATGCTATATGGAAATATCTTCTACAGTCATCCACTCTTAAGGCCAACCACATCACACATACTGCCCAGGACAGACTGGACAATAGAGTAGATGATGAAACAGAGCCAATCTCCATTACTTTAAAAAATAAACTCAAAGCAGAAAGATGAATTATTACCACATCTCGTGTATAAAACACACATAGCTACAGAAGGGCAGTGGTGGTCCTTCCTGCAAGAAGTAGCAACTCTCCTGCAAACCTTAGGCAATTACTTTTTATAGATTATTTGTCTTTATAAATAGTCTGCACCCACTATTCTTCTGTATTCACTCTTCAGCCCCTGTAATTTGCCTCTGTCTTTACTCCACTGAAATAGCACACTTGAGATCCTCATTAAACTTGTAATCACTAAATCCGTGGCTTTTTTCATACCCTCCTTAACCTCTTTGCTGTAATTAACATTTTTTTCTTCCCTTGGCTTTTGCTTTGTTTCTTTCCTTCTAACTATTCCTTTTGCAGAATTTTCCTTCCCTTGGCTTTCCTCCAAAGTTAGATCCTTGGACCATGTTCTTTTTGTCCAAATTTTCTCTCCCAGTCATCTCATTCACTCCCATAGCTTCGATTTTTATCTCTGTATCTGACTCTCCAGTCTAAATCTAGCCTCCAGCCTCTTTCAGGTTTTTGTCCAACATTTCCAACTACCAGCAGAATATTTTCATTTGCATGTTCTTCCACCGCCTCACACTCAGTATATCTAAAATGTAACTTAGAATTTTCTTTCAAAGCTTGTTCCTTCTTATTTCTTGATTTGCACTAACAGTTACCCCTCCTATTTAAAGAATTGTAGGCGTCTGTGACTTCTTGCTTATATCCTTTTCCTTCTTCCCTACTGGTCCTACTTTAGGCAAAGTTCTTGTTGCCCGACTGTGATTTTTGCATGATGTTTTCAGTCATCTTTCAACCATCTTAAACACCAGTCACATATATCTTATTACAACATAGCTCTCATTATCTCTCTCACCTATTGAGTACATCCATCTGTTCCATCTTTACGCACAGCCCGTGATCTCAGTGTGGGCTCACTCCCTTGTCCTCCTTGAAATTTTCTCTTGTTCAAATCTATGAAAAATATTACATTCAAGGCCGCACAGACATAACATCTTAAACCTCTTCCTGGCATTGTTCCCAGCCGTGTCTTAGCTTAGAAAACTACCTGAAGTGGTTTCTCTTCCAGAACTCCTGTAGCACTTATTAGCTACACACCTTAGTTTTGAATTTGCAAAAGCTATCTTCTGTTATCTCTTCATGTGGCCTACCTTTACACAATGGTCTCTTTAGCAGATATGAAGCCTATTTTTTTTTATTACCCAAGTATCTAGAATAGTGACTTTTATATAATAGATTTATCTGATTCTATAAATCCTCAGACTAGAAATATTTTTCCAACATACTACCATCATATTATAGTAGTTTATAGTGTAAAATTTTACCATTCCAAATAGAATAACGAATTTTGTGTTTAAAAGGAAATCTGCTTCACAGCAGGCCTGCCAAGCCAACAAAAGTAGTGTTGTTCCATAGAGGAAAAGACTTAGGCTAGAAATTTGGAGACTGTCACTGGTCACTGTCATTATTGTCACTTCACCTCTGTTAGCCTCATTTCTTCACCTGTAAAATGCAAGACTTTTTAAGCAGTCTTTTGACCCTGTTCGAGCTATATCAAGATCAGTTAATTCAGTCTAGAGAAGGACCCTGTTATATTATACACTTATATATAATATATACACAATTACATACTATGTATACAATATAGAGAACAGAAATCACCTTTGTTATAAAATATCTAGTACACAGATAATCAAGTTTTTAAAAAGATCCAGAAAAAATATCTACCTCTAAGAAATACTGAATTTTGAAATCTGAAGTAGCCCAGTTTACCCGTAACCTCATGGGAGATTTTCTTCTGGAAGAGAGGTAACAGAAGTGCACCTGCTGTATTTACCCTGCTAGTCTTAAGAAAAAGTGGGAACTATTTAAAGACTTAGATAATCTATTTTATAATTGTGAATATGCTTGCACTTCTGTAAAATAAAAGCAGGTTTCCTGGAAAATTAGGCTTTTCTTCATTATATATGTTGATTCAGCCCTATCGAATAAGAATTTCTATTTCCTTATTTGAGTTGTCAAGTTGTCCATACTGAACTTATTCCCATGCAATAGGGTTTTATGGGAAAAGTCTGCCTGTCTGTGACTAAGCACCAGAGTAGATAACGTAACAATTTGTTTTACTTCGGGAATGCATTTTAAATCAGGAAGAGAAGTTTCTGTCCTACTTGAACCCAGCTTCACTCTCCTCCTGGGCGAAAGCTGAGAGGCCTAGGTGTGCCCAGCTCTCAGTTAACTGAAGTCACGTGGTGGTGGACCCCGCCCCCAGGGCCCGGTTGGCTGTGGCCCCGCCCCCGAGCCCTGGGGTCGGTGCTTGCTGCCTGCGGCTCTCAGAAGCCTCTGCTCCACCGCGGCGAGAGGCATGGGCACGTGGCTGCCGAGGGTGGCCGAGCTCTGGGAAGAAAAGCCCGTGTGCCTCTGCATAGCGTCGCTACAGCGCTGACTCGGTGTGGATTGATTGGAAAGGTTTGAGGGAGTACTTGGGAAGCATGGTGGCACATGATGAGACTGGAGGTCTCCTACCTATTAAAAGGACCATACGAGTCCTAGATGTCAATAACCAGTCCTTCAGAGAACAAGAGGTAAGACTTTAAGAGAAACGTTAGGCAAAAGGAATGTTTTCTAACTCCACGGAGCTTTTAAAATTTTTAACAAGGTATTAACAGTATAATTTTAAACTTTTGATCTTATTATTACAATGTATGTTCTTGATTTATGTGCAAGCTTGAAATGTGTTTAGGGACTGTGGTCTAAGTTTAAATAGTTTATACATAGCATAGCTTGAGTGTACACAGCTTTTATAAAAAAGGAAAAGATTTTAAATGTATATGTTACTCGGGTTACGTTTGTCACATTTCTGATGCTTAATATAATTGTTTTTTTAACTTGAATTGATATCATCCAGTCTTAGAAACTACCTTAATGGAGCAAGAGGAAAAGAATCCCGTTCTTGTAAATCAATGCTAGTGAACAAATTGCAACTAAAGTTTAGTCTGACCTGGTGTGCATTTTTCTTCCATCTGATGAGTTCATTGTATGCCACTTTTTTCTTCAGAAGGAAAGAGGCATGTTAGAATATTTAAACCAGTGACTCATTATTTTTACCCTCCTTGCTTTGTCTGAGTCTTTTTTTAGTCTTTATGAACATTTATCAATATAAATCAAATTACTTTATGCCATTTTATGTAATCTTGATTTAACATTGTGTGATATTCTGTTTATACTATATACTTTAATATATACTACATTGTCACTTATATGCTAGGAATAGTGTTCCTGCATTCAGTTAACTGTGTATCTCTTGATTGTGGTAGTGGTTTCCGTCTCTATACACACGTCAAAACTTATCTAATTGTGCATTTTAAATATGTAAAGCTTACTGAATACCCCAGCAAAGTTGCTTGTCATGTGTACACATACACACACCTTTTGGTAGTTAAAATAGCTGCCGTCTTCAGGAAGTACACTTTTATTTGGTGTGGTTTGGCTTTGGTTTTTGTTCTTGGTTTTGGTCTTTGCCTATGTGTCGGTTTTCTCAAAATGTGTAAGTATTTCCTTTGAGTAGAGCAGTCATCCACAGTCACTAGTGTGAATCCTGCAGCTTATCATCTGTTGGGCCCATAGAAGCTGGCCTTTGTTTAGTATCAGCATGGGCTGTGTTTCTGCCTTACCTTTATTTCTAAGTTACAAGCACTAGGAATGTTGTCACGGTTTTAGATCTAGTGACACAGCTCTAAATAATTTGAGTATTTCTAGAAAAGGAATTCATCCCATGTGATCATAACTCGTTTTTATCTTTTTAAAAATAACTTTTATTTTCTTTTGATTTTAAAGTTTTGCTAAAGATTTTAAGAGAAGATTATTTAACTATTATAACCCAAAGGAATAGACCCAGGTGCATACTATTTTTTTTATTCAGTGTCTTGATATGATTGGTTATAGAAGAGACCCTCCTAAAATATGTTCTCTAACTGGCATCATTAGAAGAAAAAGCCTTTCTACAGAATGCTGACTTCTCAACAGGATTTTTCCATGTCGTTGCAGTTAGCTGTAAGGCATAACCTGAAAAATACTTTAACTTATTCTCAACAATTTTCTGTTTATAGATGTCGAGAAATTTTTAAGGCATAAAATCTAACTACAAGTGGATTACTAACATTAATTAATACCCTGATCTGTGGACAGATTGCCTATAATAATGTATGTGACTGCCTGGCTAACCTAGTCTGATTAAAAATTAACCTAAATTGACAACATAAACTTATGTTAGAGAGTGTTGGACTTTTTTTCCCTCCAAGTGAACTTTAGCCCTGGTGAAAGGTTCCCTGCAGCAGAAAATTCATTGAGCATGTAAAGCTTGTTGGCATTTTTTTGTTTATTCCCATGGATTTTTGGATTTTTTTTTTTTTTTTTGAGGAGAGTAAGGTTCCAGTATTCGTATCTGTTCTTTAAGCTTCTTGAATTTGCCATAACGTGTTTCCAGGACTCCAAAGTAAAAAATAAACAATCCTAGCAGTGGAACTATGGGTGCCTTCCATTTGGTGGTGGTGAGATAGAAAGCGCCTGTTCCACTCCCCCTTCATCACCTCCAAATGCTGTGTCTGGCCTATCTAAATATTGTATTAGGAATCTGTTTTGTGACTGCAAATATTTAGGTTCTTAATAGTCAAATCAAGATTATTAAGATAGTTCATGTGGACCTCTAAAGAAAACTACTTTTGGTTTCGGCTCACATGGGCCAATTTCTGACGTGTATTCCGAAAGACACAAATTTTTGTCCCAATCTTTTAGGTGGCCTGTGAATGCCTAAACCATGTCACTTTTCCACAGAAGTTTCATGTATGAGTCTGTTTTCAAATAGTATATGTATCCTGAAATTAGTAGCAGCATTATACCTTTACATTTCATAATCACACTTTTCGTTATTTTAGTCATTAAAATTGTTCATACTTTTAAAATATATATACTAAAAGTTTGTTTTGTATTTGCCAAACATTCTTCATGTATGTCCTTTGAGTGAGGCAGGAAAGTTATCCACCATCATCCCCAAAAGCATGTGAAAAAGTGCAAAGTGCCCTCCTCCTTTCTCTCCCTCTCCCAACCTGTATTTCCTGAGTAAGCATCATACTTCCCAAGACATCCTAGATTTGATAAACTCTGAAAAGCAGCATTTCCTTTGTGGAGAAGTGGGATTATAGTTGGATTTTTAAAGGACTGTGGAACATATTTAACCACCAAATACCACTTGGCATAATATGCTGCCACCCTAAAGAGACCACATCAACAAAACCCGTGTTCGTTTCAGAAGTATGCTTTAGATATATTTACATTCACTTATCTAAATCTAAATTCTGTAGTTTTAAAATATCACATAATTTTGAGTTACCAGGAAGTTAGTAGTTGTACAGTAACTGGTCCTATAAAGATAATAAATTTTTATCATTAATTTGATTTTATGTGATAAAATAGATATCAAAAATTTATTTCCTGCTAACAAAATTTTCCTTTCATATTCACTGGGAAAAGCACCTTTCCAAAGACCTTTTAAGTTGAAATTAAATATTATATTTTCTGGGAAGTCAAATTTGTTATGCATGAAACAAGGAAGAGGAGTTAACCTCTGTTCCCAAAAAGCGGAACAGAACTTTCTGACAACTGCTTTGTTCCAGTGAAATGTCGGCATTTCTTACTCTGTGAGGTAATTCTATCTTCAGTCCAACAGGAGACTCTTTGTGCTGTCTTTACTAAATGGAAAGGAATGCCTGTGCTGGCCCCTGCACACGCGTGTGTCAGTCAGTCAGCACAGATGTACGTGGGGGAGGCATCCACACATGTCCTCAGAAGCACAGCGTGTGCCATCTTATTACATATCGCGAAGGTTTCTTTTGCAGTTAGTTTATATTCAAAGTTTTACTTTGGAGTTGATTATTTGGTATGAGGGGTTGATCTACAACTCTGCCTCTTAAAGCCTTCAGATTTCCAAATTCTTTCATTATCTACCAAGTTTCCTTAATAGTTCACATTCCTTTCTGATACATATGTATACATTTAGGAGCTTTAATGAGTCTAATTGTTTCTTTGGATATTCAAATTATTTACATTTCTTTCCAAATAATGTTAACTTTTCCTATCAGTTTATTCTTAAATAATTAATTAAAAAAAATTTTTTTTTACCCAAACCAAAAATGGTCAATATAGTCTTCAGTTGTTTAAAGGCATTATTTTTACTCATTTTCTACACCCCTTCCTTTTTATATTACTTTAGTCATGTCAAAGAATTTTTAGAAAAAGTTGCTTCTTCTGTTATTTTTAAATGATGTCTTATTTTTCAGTGATAATTTTAATATAATTTTAAATTATATATCCTCCTGGATTCTCATCAAAATTATTTTGTCAAGTATGCCACAATTGTCAGAAGCACAAAATACAAATAGTTATGCTCCATAGACATAAAGAATAGACCTGCTAGTTTTATGATCTGGCATTCTTCATTTCAGTAACTGTGTGAGTCACCTACTGGTATGCCTCCATTTTTCTAGCGATAAAATTAGAATAATGCAATTTTTGTAAAGTTTCAAAATCCTTGAATAAGTGATGTGTTTGCTATATTATTATTTAAAAGCAATAACATGTAGAATCATAACTATTTCTTCTCGATTTGTATATATCTTTCCTTTAAGTTAATAAATTACTGTTTGAGAGAGGATCTAATTTATCTATGAATCCCAGTGTTTATGTAGTAAATGGAAATATTCCTAAAATCTGTTAGTAATAGCTCAAACTGAGTATGTGCCAGGCACTGTTTCAAGCCATATTATTCATTTAATCTTCACAACAACTTCATAAGAGAAGTGCTACTTTTAGCCCCATTTTATAGATGAGAAAACTGATGCCAAGGGTGTGCCCTAGCAAGTGGTAGAGCCGGGATTTGTGCCCAGTCAGATTTCAGAGCCTGGGTGCTCTTTTAACTCCTCCCTGCCTTGGCTTCAATATTTTTCAGCCCATTCCAGTGTCAGACATGTTGATTGAAAGGTTGTATTTTCTAACGGAAGTAGTTAAGAATGAAATGATACAATGTCTGAGATTTGCTTTAAAACATTTAAGTAGGGACAAAAATGAAACAAATTGTTATACCAGACACTGTGGAGGCCCCTCGATAGACACATGGGATCCATTATGCCATTCTCCACTTTCATGTATGTTCGAAAATTTTCATAACAATAAGGCTTTTTTTTAAAAAAAAAAAAAGTTATTCCCTGCATTAAACTGAAAAGTTCATTAGATTTTAGGATGTAATTTCCTTGTTTGAATTTTAATTTTTTCCCCTATTGGAAATATTTGACTGGCCTTTCTTACACACTTATTTTTTGAAAAGTTACTGCTACTCAATAGAGTTCTTATTGTTTTGACAATGAAGAACAACTCTTACTTTCATGTTTCTGTATTTTATAATGTACAAAAATTGTTTTGTGAGAGGGCTTTACTTTGTCCAAGTTTGTATGAAATCATTGCACCTAGACATATATTTAGTGTCATCTGGTTTGTTTTTATAGGAGCCAAGCAATAAAAGAGTTCGACCTCTGGCTCGTGTCACGTCCTTGGCAAATTTAATCTCTCCTGTAAGAAATGGAGCTGTCAGACGTTTTGGTCAAACAATACAGGTAAAAAGAGAGGAGGAAGAGTAATGTAGTCAGCGGACTTTATAGAAGCCTGGAATTTGTAGTTGTCTTTGAGCTGTACAAACAAGTTTGCATTATTATATTTAAACATAGTTTTCTTTTTGGAATATGCTAGTAAGGAATATTGTTCCAGAACAATGTGTAGCCTCATTATATTAATTTGCATCTTATATTAATTTGCATCTTATAATGCATAGTCTTGGCTAGTTTTTATTCCCAAAAATGTAATTTTAGCTGATAAATATTTAAGATTGGTAGGTGGAAACTTGGATAAATTATTGTTTTCTGCATTGAGAAATTCTCAGAACTTTGTCTTTCTTCACTTTAAAAAAAAAGAAAATGGGAATAATTCTATTTCTTCCAAATCTTATTTTCTCTTTTGTTCACCTTTTCTTTTTTAAGTCATTTACCCTTCGTGGTGACCACAGATCCCCAGCCTCTGCCCAGAAGTTTTCTAGCAGGTCAACAGTCCCAACACCCGCCAAGAGAAGGAGCAGTGCACTGTGGTCAGAGATGCTGGACATCACCATGAAGGAGTCTCTCACCACCAGGGAGATCAGACGGCAGGAGGTATGCTGGCACTCAGTGTACATGTTTTCCCAAAAGAACAGCAAATTGATGCCGATGGCAAAATTAACTTGGATTTTTGTGTTTGAGCAACAATTCCTAATACATGGTGAACAAAACCTAATGATGGATGGTGGTCAAATTAAACAACTCTAATAGGGTAAACTTACCAAACATACGGCAACCTTGTATTTGAGATTCCATTCTGAATTACAATTTTCAGACTGAGTTACTTTTTAAAATGCCGTTCAAAACATCAAATAATGTAATTATCAGTTGTATATAATTTTCCTTTCTCGAAGGAATGACCTCTGATGTTTGCTGGATGTTTTTAGGCAATATATGAAATGTCCCGAGGTGAACAGGATTTAATTGAGGATCTCAAACTTGCAAGAAAGGTCAGTAAATAACTTTTTATCAGATGCCCTAGTTTTTAAAAATTACATTTCACAAAATCTAAAGGATAGTTTTCTTAACCTTTAGAAGTAGAAGAATAGAAAATATCTACTGGTGAATACATTTTTTTTAGGTGAGGTCTAGACACATCCTCAAATACAAGTATTAGTAAGAGAGTTTATTTGGGGATTAATACATACTAATTTATTTTATGTGTAGCAAACAGAATCCACGCTAGCTTTTATGTAATTAATTCTCTTTGTTTCCAAGTATAGATCCCTCATGTTTTCCTCACATGATCTCTCTGTGACACATTTCTCCCCTCTGACAGGCCTATCATGACCCCATGTTAAAGTTGTCCATCATGTCAGAAGAGGAACTCACACATATATTTGGTGATCTGGACTCTTACATACCTCTGCATGAAGGTTAGATGTGCCACTTAATTGTCATTAAATCTAAAGAGCAGCGGTGCATGTAATTTTCAGTCTAAACTTCTAATGTAGTGCTGACCTATTTTTTAAATAAACCTGTTAATGGTGTTTATGCTTTTTTATCACTTCAGATTTGTTGACAAGAATAGGAGAAGCAACCAAGCCTGATGGAACAGTGGAGCAGATTGGTCACATTCTCGTGAGCTGGGTATGTAGTGAGTTGTTGACCCCAGATACAGTTTCTTACAGATGTGCCATGTTGCAGTTTCTGATGAATATGAGACAGATTTGATCCCACAACTCTGTTCTACAAACACATAAGGCGTTAAAACTGAACAAATTTACAGTGACATAAGAAGTTACAGTCTGTTTAAAAAAAAAAAAAAACACCTTCATTAATGCTATAGGTTCATTTGTGTTACAAATACGTTCCTGCTTGGATAGAATTCCCACATCATGTGTGATTATCCGTTGCATTCTGTCATGTATGTTTAAGCGCATGCCAAATGCGGGGCACTGTTTGAGGAGGAGTCGCTGGGAGTCAGTGATGAAAGGCAGTCTCTGCCTTTATAGCCTAGTGAAGGAATAGCCAAGCACATAAACAGTCTCAGGGCTGGTGGCAAATGGAGGACACTCAAGTGTCCTGGGAGCACAGACTGCCAGTGTCTGAGGTTGGAGGGGAGTAGAAGTCATGAATCTTCACTTGGATTTAGCCAAATTATGAAAATTTGAAGAGCATTTTGATGATTGCTAAAATGCTATTCAGCTTCCATTATTATCTGCCAGAAAATGTCCACAGCTTGTTAAAACTCTCAAGAATAGCTGTACATTTTGTGTTTCATGTTTGCAGGCTTGTTAATGCACTCGGTCATAACAGGAACACATCATACCTTTTCTTTTATTACTCTTCAGTTACCGCGCTTGAATGCCTACAGAGGTTACTGTAGTAACCAGCTGGCAGCCAAAGCTCTTCTTGATCAAAAGAAACAGGATCCAAGAGTCCAAGACTTCCTCCAGCGATGTCTCGAGTCTCCCTTCAGTCGAAAACTAGATCTTTGGAGTTTCCTAGATATCCCTCGAAGTCGCCTAGTCAAATACCCTTTACTGTTAAAAGAAATTCTTAAACACACTCCAAAAGAGCACCCTGATGTTCAGCTTCTGGAGGATGCTGTAAGTAGTCCCTTAAGTGATTGTTTTGTTTTTTAAGTTTATACATTAGGCTGCTTTAGAACGTTATCTTCTGAAGATGCTGATTCACATCAGCATAGTGAATTGTTTTGTTGTTTTAAGTACCCAGTGCGTTAGTACGCTGTGCACTAAGCAATAAGGAGCTGTGTATGCTGGACTTCGCACATTTTGTATCTTAAGGGACAGGATTCTCATCTGATCTCACCTTGTCACCTTTGAACAAATCACTCAATTTGGCTAGGACTGTTTCTTGATCTATAAAATGAACAGACTGGCAGAATTAACTGATTTCTAGAGTCCCTTCAAGCTTTAAAGTTCTTCCATTCCATATGACATTTTTGCTCTGCAGGAAGCAGAATGAGTTAATAAACTGAAGCTGCTCTGTCAATTTTATTTATCATTTTCAGATATTGATAATACAGGGAGTCCTCTCTGATATCAACTTGAAGAAAGGTGAATCCGAGTGCCAGTATTACATCGACAAGCTGGAGTACCTGGATGAAAAGCAGAGGGACCCCAGAATCGAAGCGAGCAAAGTGCTGCTGTGCCATGGGGAGCTGCGGAGCAAGAGTGGACATGTAGGTGACTTTTGCTGCCGTGGCAGAGCAGCCTTCCCTCCTGCCTCTTTAACTTTTACACGTTTGTTATGAAGCAGGCTTGTAAAGGGAAAGTCATGACATAGTAAAAGAAGGTTGCCAATTTTAATTTTATATTACCAGCTTGATAAAGCCAACAAAGAAGATACCTTAAATGTCTCAGTGGAGAATCAGTAATACTTTATTTTTTAGTTTCGAAGCATAAATCAACTTGTTAGGCCAGGGGTTCCTGTCTAAATACAGTATTAGTTCCATAATGCTTAATAAAAAAGCATCCTTCAAAAAAAACTTCTAAGAGTTTATCTTATGCTTATGAAAGTGGTTTTTCGCACTACATAACAAATTTCTGAAGCAGATTGAATGAATGCAAATGTATTTTTTAAATGCTAATTATAAAAGTACCTGCTAGAACTAAGTGCAGTCACGGAATGGTATTTTTGTTTCATCATGCATTTTCAAAAGCCCAATTTATAAGTTGGAGTTTTGTTTAAAAAAATTTGAAATCTGACATCTTTGATTTTTCCCTCACGAGGGGAAAATTTATAAAGGTATAAATTTGTGTGGGACAAAATAGAACCATTAACATTTTACCAGCTTGCATTTTTAATCCCTCCTTCGTGTTAGAAAACTGTGGTATACAACGCTAGTGTTTCAAGTCATGTTGCTACTAATAGGTCTTTGTGATGCAGAGCATTCACTTAGCTGCTGCTTAATCTGATATTACATACCAATAAGAAACATTTTATTTATTCTGAGATTGGAAAAACTTTCCAAATAGAACATGCTTAGCCTTGAAATTGCCATCTTTATGGATTACTAGATTTGTCACTTAGAGAGATCTTCGAAAAATAAATCTGATGAAATTAATAATGTCGAGTTATTTTAGCAATATATTTCAGTCACTTAAAAACACAAGTTTCCTATTTAGCGTTTGTTTCCCATTTCTCCAGAAACTTTACATTTTCCTGTTTCAAGACATCTTGGTTCTGACTCGGCCCGTCACACGGAACGAACGGCACTCTTACCAGGTTTACCGGCAGCCAATCCCAGTCCAAGAGCTAGTCCTAGAAGACCTGCAGGATGGAGATGTGAGAATGGGAGGCTCCTTTCGAGGAGCTTTCAGTAACTCAGAGAAAGGTAAAATGCAGGCCTTCAATAATTTAAAGAAATAGAAGCTCAGAACTGAAGTGAATTTAGTTTTGCCTTTAAGAATTCTAGAGATGAAATGGCTCCATTGTCCTATACTTGTTACATCCATTGAGTTGTCCAGGCCTTCCCAGCTCGAACACCCGCAGGTGTATCTAAGAAATAATGCATAGGCTTAATGTATTCACATTGACATAAATAAATTGCCATAAATTGACAGTCACGTTAAGATTGTATGACCACTTTGTCTAGAATAAACCTTTTTTTAGCCTGATTTCTTTTTTTTTTCCAATTTTTTTTTTCAGCTAAAAATATCTTTAGAATTCGCTTCCATGACCCCTCTCCAGCCCAGTCTCACACTCTGCAAGCCAATGACGTGTTCCACAAGCAGCAGTGGTTCAACTGTATTCGAGCGGCCATTGCCCCCTTCCAGTCGGCAGGCAGTCCACCTGAGCTGCAGGGCCTGCCGGAGCTGCACGAAGAGTGTGAGGGGAACCACCCCTCTGCGAGGAAACTCACAGCCCAGAGGAGGGCATCCACAGTTTCCAGTGTTACTCAGGTAGAAGTTGATGAAAACGCTTACAGATGTGGCTCTGGCATGCAGATGGCAGAGGACAGCAAGAGCTTAAAGACACACCAGACACAGCCCGGCATCCGAAGAGCGAGGGACAAAGCCCTTTCTGGTGGCAAACGGAAAGAGACTTTGGTGTAGAGAAGGCTCTGTGTGTTAACTGATGGGAGAGACTGTTTGTTTATAAATGTGTACAGTTTTGTTTTCTCGTAAGGGGAGCATCATAGGGTTACTTTATACCAGTTGTAACATTTTCATTGTTTTTGGTTGTTCTTTTTTCTTTTTTTAATGGCAGCTAAAGATATACAGATTACTGTTAAATTGCAGTCCTTTTTTTTTTAAAGATATTTTCTTGAATTATTTAGAACATGGTAAGCCTGGTATTTTTTAATCAAACAAAATATTTATGAAATGGGTTTTCTCTTAATTCTGGATTCATCATGGCTTTCTAATACCAATTGTAATATTTACAATATTCACCAAAACTTAGAATTTTGCAAATGCTGGAATTCTGCCAGTGTTTCTTTGCTAAGCCTTGCATGCAAAATTTGAAATTTTAACATTGGCACCCAAAACCTACATGGAATGTATGTCTGGAGTATTTCAAACTTTACATTGAAACATAATTTCCTTGGAAAACAAACCATAAGCCTGAGGAGGTTTTTATCAACTGGAATGCTTTATATTAGTTTGTTTTTCACTGTACATTCCTCATTTTACATTCATTTAACCTGCCGATTATTTAATTTTTTTATTGTAAAGTAGTTTTTAGCATTTGCTTTTATTTTTTTACTTTGATGCCTTTTCAAATTGGCATGTCTTTAAAGTATTTTTCTTCCTGATTAAAAATGTGTGTGTATGTGTGTGTGTGTGTGTATATATATATATATTTTTAAATCACATTAATTTTACCAAGTGAAACCAAGCCATACTGTTTTTGAGCCAATTAAGAAAATTGCCATTTTTAAAGTGTAGCATTTCAGGGTAAAGACCCATGAAATGGCTTGATGTATTCTAGACTACTGAAAGAAAACCACTTCAAAGATTTTGTTGAAAGTTTTAGTGTTGTCTGAAATGCAAGAGGGAAGGTGATTGGTAGTGAGTTAAAAGAAAAAGAGAGGAAAAGAGAGTAGTTTTGTCTTCAAGTAAAATGTCTGGTTGTGCCAGACATTTCACAAGTGTGAAAGGAGATAGGAGAAGCTCAACTTGAGGGCGTGTAGTAAGTTGTAGAAGGCTCGAGGGGACGTGGACTTATTTGCCTTGGTTTGCAATACCTGCAAATAATGAGTTTGAAAAGAAACAATGAAATGTGTTAAAAATTTGACCATATTAGATAAATTTTCGTGGATTTAGTCATAAGATGGAAAAAGACTGGTGAATCTTTTATTACAAAATGTTTCTGTTAAAATGGGATCATCATCTTTGAAAGGGGGGAGGAGGAGTAAAAGCCCGATTATAATGGTGATCAATTCAAGTCAGTGTTGACTATTCTGTGAAATATATTTGGCCAGTGGAAATGATAATCAGAAAAGACTGTAAATAGATCCATCCAAATGATTTCTCTGTACAAATGAATGATACTATTAAAAAAAAAAAAAGCACACACATAATCACCCTGAAGGTTTCTTGCCTGGTGGCTATGTTGGGGGCATTTGGCAAAATATGCTGGTGTGGCAAAGGAGGTAGTGGTAAGCCTCATAAAAGTTAGTAAAAATTGTAGTTCAACCTTTGAAATCATTGATGAATCAGCGAAAGGTAGGTAAGTCTTGTGTTAGGAAATCTTTTAAGAACATGGTGTAATCAGACACAGCAATTGTATTGAAAATAACTGAACACCTGTTACTTTCTGGATAGGATAGTAAGGGTAGTAGTGGCAAAGGATCCTGATTAATTTCAGATTTTAATGTAAGTACCTCAGGTTCTTGTCTTTGGAAATTCACATTCATAAGTGTATATTACACCAATGATTGTGATCTGCAACACCAGAAAGCAAGATTTCTAATCATTTCCAGAGGTGTTGTATAGAATAGTTATTCCAGAGTTACCTTGATCAGCTTCTGAAGTTTAAGAAGCAAGTAATAGTTCAAGTGTTGTTAATGGAATTATGTTTTATTTAAAACCGTATCTTCTTTTGGTTCCCTCAAAGGTAAAAATAAGACCCAGAATCTGAGTAAATCTATTAAATGAATGTTCTTCAGAAATAGCACCTGTGTTTGAGAGCATTCAGTGATTTAGCACATTAGTTCTCAAACTTCTTTGGGTATCACAATCACTAGAGGTGCTTTAAAAAAAAAAAAGTAACTGGGCCTCACCCCCTAACATACCCGCTGCAACCCCATATACACCATGTTACTGAATCCAGATTGTGGGGCGTCAGGGTAGAGGGCTGATTGTTTCTGTTCGCAAGCATCCCTCCTAGCAATTCCAGTGCTGTGAATTCCTTGGATCAGCATTGAGTATTCACTCATCTATTATATATCAGCCCCCTTTGGGTAACTGCTATATAATAAGTCAACATGTATCCACCATATTCCTAGTTTTTGCCTTAACCTGTTCCGAGTCAGAGCTGAAGAGAGTCTAATTTCCCTGCCTTTTTACCTTTCTCCAGTGGGTGTGCTTACATATTTTCAGCAAAGAATAGTCTCTGCCCTGAAAATCTTCTTAAACTTCATGGTCCGTCTCAGGATGTGTGTATGCACAGTGGTAAGGGAAACCAGGTCATCTTATTAGCCATCCGTGGATCACAGGTAAATCACCCTGGGATCTATCAGGACACAACTGACCCATCAGATGTGTTCAGCGACTTTTGTGGTAGCTGGGTCTACTTTGTATTTAATGCTTTTCTCAGTATGCAGACAGCATGATATTTGTTTCAAATATATATGGCTATAATGCTAGTAATTAATTTTACAAGCATCAGAAAATGCCTAGTTAAGGCCCCCATCTGTAAATGTTGATGACAGAGGCAGAAAGACCTAAAGTGGCAATGTTACAGTTTGCCTTCATCATATTCCTCACTTGAAATTCCTGCCTGTCGCTAGAGCTGAAACTGGCTAAGAAGTATACACTTAGGAGTCCTAGGGGTTCAAAGTAGATGATATCTCAGCCTTCAAATGGGCTTTTTTCTTCTTTTTTTTTTTTTTTTGAGATGGAGTTTTGCTTTTGTTTACCAGGCTGCAGTGCAATGGCGCAAACTCAGCTCACTGCAACCTCTGCCTCCTGGGTTCAACTGATGCTCCTGCCTCAGCCTCCCAAGTAGCTGAAATTACAGACACGTGCCACCACGCCTGGGTAATTTTGTATTTTCAGTAGAGACAGGGTTTCACCATGTTGGCCAGGCTGGTCTTGAACTCCTGACCTTAGGTGATAAGCCCACCTCTGCCTCCCAAAGTGCTGAGATTACAGGCATGAGCCATTGTGCCCAGCCCAAATGGGCTTTCTAAAATTGGCATGAGAGAACACTGATGAAAGAGTAATACCCCTTTGTCCACGGAATCTAACTCCGGTGCGAGGAATGTCCTCAAGAATAAATCTCCCTAGACCCAGAGAAGTTTTCATTTTGTCTGCACTCAGCAATCCCCAGGACCAACTGCAAGACCAAAGACTTCTCCCGGAGGGACGGTTATTCGAGTCCAGTGGTACTTACGCTTACAGCATGCATATTTGAGGTTCTAATGACAGCCAGGACCCTCTCCCCAGGAAAATGTATGTACATCCACATCCACATGACTTTGGAACTTCAGGGATATTCCCCAGACCACCCTGTGGATGCCAAGTTGAGATCCTCTTGTCTGTCCTGACAGGACTCCAGGGAACCTGCCGGGGAACACGGATTCACTTTGTTCCTGTGGGTTCTCCGTGCACTGACATCACGTTTGTTATATAAAGAAGAGTCAAAAACATCAACCTTTCACACTTCTCGCTGGTCTGCTAAGTCACACTTGTGACACATTCGACCGTGCTGAATATGTTTCTTTGGGATAATATAAAAGTATCAAGTATGCTTTTGTAAAGTACTTTCAATCTGATACCACATAGCCTTAGCTTCAGAATACTTCTCTCTTCTAAGACCTGTTCAGTCAAGAAATGTGCCTGTTTTCTTAGAAGGTGGGCTGCTTGTGAGACGGATGGATGCAGACTTGAGTGAAAGCAGGTGCCTTTCCTAAGCCTGGAATGACACGGTCCTGTACAGAGACGCACAGGTGTCTCATGACGAGTGGGGCATTAATTTAAAAGTGCTTGAGACAATTAGAGCTCATTAGGATAATAACTACCATGGATTGAAACATCAGACACATTTAAGCCCATAGCTACATAATGATTCTTCACAAAATAAAAACTTTGATTTCCTTTGGAGTATCTCAGGGAACGAATGTAGGGCTTTGAAAACTGTAAATAAAGGAAAAGAATCAGGCATTTATCCTCCTATTTCATCTGCAGACTATCAGAGCAACCAAATAGCTAACAAAGGGGAGATTGTCTGTGGAGCAGCAGCCCAGCTAATAAATGAAGGAATGGTAGTGTCGCCATCTCATAGCCCTGATGCATTGAAGGATCATCAAAGGCACAGAACACACAAGCCACTAACTCCCGAGGGACCCGCATCCCAGCTAAGGCCTGCCAAGGTCACACATGAATCTGATCTCCAGGAAACTAAGACAAGTAGAATTTCTTCAATGAAATAGAAACCAGAAAAAGGAGAGATGGAGGGGAATCTATGACCTAAGAGACAATTGCAATGCATCGCCCTCATTTAGAGCTAAATCAAACTTTTTAAATAAGAAAATATCCAGCACTGAGTGTATGTTTAAAGTCAAGCAGTTACTGTTAGATTTTCGTGTTTAACAATAGCACTGTGATCAGAGTCATAGAGGCATTTACTGAAATGTTTATGGGTAAAATTGAACGACAATTGGGATTTTCTTTGAAATTACGAGGCAGGAGAATGGTTGGGACAAAAATGAAACAAGATTGGCCATAAGTTGGGAATCACTGAAGCTGGATCAGACACACAGGAAATTCATCATACTCTTTACACACATTTGTGTGTATATTGGAGATTCTTTACTAAAAAAGCAGAAGTTAAAAAGAAAGTGTGGTGGCACATGTAGCCCCAGCTACTCGGGAGACTTGAGATGGGAGGATCGCTTGAGCCCAGGAGTTTGAGGCTGCAGTGAGCCATGACCCTGCCTGTGACTAGCACTACACTAAGCCTGGGCGACACGCGAAGAAACCACCGCTTTAAAAAACGAAAAGGAAGAAAAGAACTTGTGGAATTCCAGTTATCTATAATGCTTCCAGCTCCTCAGCCTCTTAACTCTCGCCAAACCCTCAGCCTTTGCTTTTCAAAATACTGCATTTGCTATCTACTGTCTCACAGAAACGCAGACCTTTTGCCTGAATTTCACACTTGCTGTTCTCTCCATTACAACTTGGCAGTCATATTAGGCTAATCTGGATTCTGGCTTCATTAATACAGCCCCTTTCCTCCCTCTCCTCTCCTCCTTGTATCTCTCTACCATGATTTGTTTCCTTTGCCAACACCTTTTTCTCTGCCACACAAACGTGGCTGCCACACTCCGTGTGAGCTGAGGCAATGAGAAGACACTGAGGAAGCTCCTCGGCCCCCCAGGAAGCAATCCACCCAGCCTGGCCCTGAGAATTTCACCAACGGCCAGTGCACTAGCTGCATTACCGTCTTCTAAGAAAGGAGATAGCGTTACAATACCTGGAAATGTTTGCTGTTGAGTAGACTGGAAAGTAAGGCAAAATTAGCTAGATTCAGAGGAATCTGATAATCTCCCATAGAATCGACATTGCTCAACAGCTGCTGCTGGGGGCGGGTGGGATAGCCTTTTGTTTTCCTCTTTCACTGGGCAGGACAAGCAGGGACAGATCTATCAAGTTAGACCTGGAAACCCACATGGATCACTTAGTCTGATCCCCTTTGCCAGCTGAGGAACCTGAAATCTACAAACATCAAGTGAATTGCCCAAGATCAGGCAGCTGGCTTGTGGCAAAGCTGAGATTAAATGCATCTGAGTGCCCCTGTATTTGTTGTTCTTCCTTCCCTCCTTCACCTTGTCCCACCAGGCACCGGCTTTTCCTCTCCCGTCCAGCCTGCCCTCCCTCCAGCCTGAGATGTGGTCCCCCTGCCCCATTCTACCCTACCCCAAACTCCCAGGCCATGCTCTAAATGCTGGGCTCAGTGGTGCCCTCCCAGGGCAAAGCAGCTCTTTACCATGCATGCTCCCCACCTCCGATTCTCCCCCAAGTACCAGTATCCAGGGTCGGCCTCCTAAACCTGCACCCCTTCCCCCTCCATCATCAGCTCACACAACTGCACTCGTGCCCAGACGTCCCTGCTCCCTTTGCACGCTGACTCCCCAGCTTTCTCTAGGCCACCCCCACCCCCACCTTCCTCTAAGCCACCCTCAACCCCAGCTCCCATCTCCAGCAGCCGGCAGCTTCCAGGAGTAATTCATCAGATTCAACCTCGGCAGCACCTGGAACACCTCCTCCGCTCTTGGGTACCAGCACACTCTCCTCATCTCCTACCGCCCTCGCCTCTTCTCCCTTTGGACCTCTGTTCTTCCAGACCTGTAAATGTTGGAAAGCCATGGCTTAGTTCCCAGACATCTTGTTTTATCTACTGGGGAGTTTGATCCATCCCATGGCTTTAACCACCAACACCTGACAACTTCCAGATTTACATCTCCAGTTCTGACCACCCCTCTGAGCTCCTGACTTGCTACCCAGATCCTACTTGACATGTCCTCTTCAAGTCTGATGTGCTTCATGCTTAACAGAACCCGAGAGGACTCTAGCTTTTCCATCCTGAATCCTCTGCACCCCCAGTCTTCCACATCTTAGTAAACGGCGCCACTCTCCACCCATTCTTGATTCCTCTACTTTACTCATGCTCCCTGACCACTCCATCCATAGGCTGTGTCAGCTCCGTGATGCATTCAGAATTCTACCACTTCCCACTGCCTTCATTGTTCCAAACACTATTAGCTGCAGAAAGCTCTTGCCTGAAGTACAGCATTAGCCTTTCACGGGTCCCCAAACTCTCACCATTCTTCAATCCATCCTCCATATAGCAGCCAAATGATCTTTCTAAAGCAAAAATTAGATAATGATAAAATATCGATTTAGTAAAATATTAGAGCTTTAAACATATTTCTTCTGATGCTAAAATTATACATTTTTATCATGGAAAATTAGGAAAATTCAGGAAAGTATGAAAAAGAAGTTACTTCAAGAGAATGAGAACACAAGCCACGGATTATAAGAAAATATTTGCAAAAGACACACCAGATGAAGGGCAGTTATCCACAATATGCAAAGAACTCTTAAAACTCAACAATAAGAAAATGACCCAATTAAAAAACTCACAAAAGACCTGAACAGACATCTCACCAAAGAAGATATACAGGCTTGGCGCAGTGGCTCACGCCTGTAATCCCAATACTTTGGGAGGCCAAGGCGGTGGATCACTTGAGGCCAGGAGTTTGAGACCAGCCTGGCCAACATGATGAAACCCCTTCTTTGCTAAAAATACAAAAATTAGCCAGGCATGGTGGCACAGGCCTCTAATCCCAGCTACTTGGAAGGCTGAGGCACGGGTTGCAGTGAGCTGAGACTGCACTACTGCTCTCTAACCTAGGTGACAAAGTGAAACTCTGTCTC